>NC_000006.12:18544848-18696363 GCF_000001405.40 Homo sapiens | reverse complement strand
AAAATACAAAGATTAGCCAGGCCTAGTAGCACACGCCTGTAGTCCCACCTACTCTCAAGACTGAGGTGGGAGGATCGCTTGAGCTCAGGATGTTGAGGTTACAGTGAGCAGAGCCACTGCACTCCAGCCTGAGTGATAGAATGAGACTCCATTTCAAAAAAAAAAAAAAAAGACCAGAGAAAAACTGGAGAAAATGAAGGAAGCTTAAAAAGATGAACAAGAAAAATATAATAAAAAGATTGAAATTGATTTATTTAAATCATTTTCTTATTTTAAAGCTGTGCTCACAAGAACAACCATTTTAAACACTTGTACCTATTTTCTTTTCTTATTATTGTGTCCTCAAATAGAAGGGCACAGCCATATAAACAAATAATTATAATAAAATGTACTAAGTGCAATCACAGAAAAGTGCAAAGAGTTATAATCCAGCTCATAGGAATCAGGAAGGGCTTCCAAAAGAGGAAATTCCTAAACTGAGCCCTCAGGGAAATGGCACTCCCCAAGAAAGAGTCCACTTTCCAGTTAGATCCATCTCTTATTTCCTCCAATAAACTTTGTAAAAATATCTTCTATAATTCATGTAGACTTTCTCTATGCCCAGCATCGGTGAACACAATGGTTCAGTTCCAGGTGTTAACTCTTTTAAGGTAATCAAAAGTATTTGGGTATTTGCACATCTCTCTTATAGCAAAAAGGAAAAAAAATCCTTTGCTTTTTTTCTGGAAGTCAGAGATCAAGCTTTCTGCCATCAGGAGAACATTTGACTTTTAAGATATGTGTAATCTGGGAATAACACAACAAGTTAAGAATGCTGCTGGTGCAAGAGAAGTGATACATCGATGTCATCTCACACTCGAGTTGTTAGGATAAGAATATCTCAAAATGAAGGTAATTTGCTCCATGCCACTTCACTCTACCAGCCCAGTCAATTCTACAGCCTCCTGCCTAAAGATAGATAAAAACACAGAACCCTGAATTCTAGCAGGTAACAAGGTATACGCCAGTGAAGACAGCACACTTATCTGATCTTCTCTTCCTTCCTCGTTACTTTTTCAGGGCTTCTAGTTCTTCTAGGGACCATCTTCTTCTCAAAGGAGATGCCTAATGTGTCTCCATCTTCCTTGTAATTGCAGAAACTTTATTTTCATGGTCCACAGTAGTATAAAGGAAAGCCATTGAAAACTAATAAGAGTGTACACCTAATGTCTTGAGCAAAAATAAGAGAAGTTCTGAAATATATTTCCAAGCTGTGAGTCGTAAGTTAGCTAATGACTACAAACTTGTCCACGTTTATTTAAACCACCATGCCTTCTTTGCCCAACAGCAGAATTATCTTACTAATTTCTACTAAATGAAATTGGTCTGACAATTAATTAGTGCTTTAACAGTGCTCTAGAATAAAAATGTCAATAAAAGAAGTAACTTTTTGGAAAAAAAAATCTCTCCTGCATATTCTCAATGGCTTAGGGTGACCCAAGATCTTCTTCAGATGAGTATTTTCATTTCTATTCTGTTTACAATCTTTCTACAAGTATGAGGATCAAAAAAATACACCTTTGCATATACCAAGCCCAGATATATGCGCACAGTGAATTCAGGGTTATTTGCATCAGTGGAATCTGGCTGACAAACTCTGAATGAACACAAAGGAATTCAGGTCTCTATTTTATATGCAGCCCCCTTGCTTCGCAATGAACTGGGCTACCCACTTTTAAGTCTGTAAACCAGGTGTCTTATTTCTGAAAAGAATTCATCAGAAACTCATTAGTAAGAATGTTGGTCTGACCCTAATACCTGCTTAGTAATTTGTTCCTAGGTACTGTACTAAAATCAGAATTTAATGTTTCAAGGACCACAAGAAAATCATCTAGAAAAGAATTGAAATTTGGTCCTGATTTTTCCACTAGCATTCAATTCTTTTGAAAATATGTGAGTCTTCTCTATGTGCTCAGCCTACTAACACATAACTAAGAGCCCAGGGACTGAAATCCTGACAGTTCCTATTAAGGTAAAAATGGGGCTACAGAATTCATTTTCAAAGTTTCTTCTAGGTTTATTTAAAAGAAAATTAAATTGGCACTACCAAATTTAATGACAAGGCTACCCTGCTGAGTTCAGAGCCCAGAAAGCTATTGTCTCCCTGGTCTATGGATCCTACTCTGCTCTAATGTTTCTTATAATGCCACTAATAACCAACCATCAGCCATAAATGCCTTGTCATCTCATTGTTGCACACAGCAATAGCTGGAGCAGTGATACTGACAAATGAACCTGCATAATCACTTTGGATTTCTTTGTTACATCTCACAGTGTGAAGATGGCTTCCGCTCAGCACGTCACCAAAAAACAAACAAGCACTATTGCTGTCCTCTCCATCAATCTTTCGTTATTGTTGTCATCCAAACCCCGCCGCTGCCCTCATCACCACCCATCCTCACAGAAGAGTGAAACGTCCCAGGTCTTTGAGTTTAGACTTTTGATATTCCTCTCCTACTGTTCCTTTGCCAACTGTACCTCTAAGAAAGAAATGGAAATCCAGAGAGCAAGGGATAGAAAGAATGCGGACCTTCTCTACTTTCCAGCACTGTTTTTCTTAGGAAAAAATAATAATAAGCTCATTAAAATCCAGTTGAGTCTGACGTTTTCCCTTTTACCTTTTCAATCTTTTTATAGTTTCAAATCATTAACTATCAGCATGAAGCTCAAAGGTAGCTCTAGCCATCTATGAAACAGTGACACATTTGACAATAATACTTTTGAAGAGCCTGTCACAGTCTCTCCCCAAACAAGTCTCATTAATGCTCAAACTGTCTTTCTTTTCTCTCTGCTTCTTTTCTCCTGATTTCTCCCTAATTAGCTTGTTTTTTTATGCTTCCTCGTTCCACAGTGTGCGCTTATAACAAAAAAAAGAGATGAATGTCATTTCCATGAACCCCAAGGCCAAGTTAATCAGCAGAATTAATGACTCTATTACCCATTAGACTGGGGGCGGTGGCACTTACCTCCAAGCACCCAGCATTCACTATCTCTCATACTTTTTCATTTTGCTGTGACAATTGTAAACTTTTGCTCTCTCAGAGCAAACTCTGAGGTTCAATCTATTTATACAACATTTCTGTTCCCCTTCAGGGTGTGAATCAGGCAGAGAGGTTGGAAAGGTAGCCACCTCTGTCGGTCTGCAGTGTCCATGCTGAGATGGTATCATTCCATTAAATGAGGACAGATCAAAGGAAATCTCAAGGAAGGCTGGAAAAGAGTCATAACCTAGTGGTCCCTGTATGACTCACCACAATCGATAACTCCTTACCGTAGAACATTTCATAATTGCAGCATCACAAAAAAATCCCTTTGTACTTTTTTTAAAATCGTGCTGTGAAAGTAAAAGATGTGTGGAGATTTAAGCCAGCAGACAAATTGATTTGATAAATTTTTAACAAACAAACATGATTGGGGGTCGAATAATTTTTGAAAATATAATTTTGGATGGAGGTGCAAACATTTCTAACAGTTATTTCCTCTTTAACACAGTCCAATAAATATCCTTTTATCCTTAAAGTCAATGTAACAAAACCAATTAAGCATCTTGTGTGTGTTCAAAATGCTTTATTTTAGAAGCATCTACCTCAAACCTATCAGAAGAGTAGGAGAGGCTTTACTTTTTATAACTCAACAAAATATTCCCCCCATAGAATTTCCCCGTTTAATTTGTAATGATATCTTTATTGATAAAAAGAGAAAGAAAATTAATACAGATTTATCTGGATACCCAAATAGATTTCCAAAGAGTATGTATATGAAGGCCTTTTCAGAGAAAATACTTTCTTTCATTTTGCGTTGGTGAGAACTCCACTCCCATCTAGTATAAAAAGCTTTTTGGTATCATTTGGTAGGTTATCTTTGCCCAAAGAGATTATCAGAAAAACCTTTTTTTAGGATAAAATTCTGCTCTAGTTAGTTTGAAATATCTTCAGCCAAAAAGGAATACATGTGCTTATGACTTCCAGCCTTTGTTTGTCCTTCATTCTCAATTTATCCTACAAAATATAACTGAAAGGATATTGGCAAGAATGATAATCCTGACACTGACTTTATTCTTTTGCCACAGGTATTCATAGAGACAATGCCATCCTTGTTATGTGGTCTTCTTTTTTTATTATAAAGGGAAATCTTCAGGGCATTAAAAAAAATTTAAGTCAATAAGCAGAACTCAAAATTCCAAGAAAAATAATTAGAGAAAAAATGACATTTCAATGGTTATTAATGAGAATTTTGTGTTACAAAGGGCAATTGCTTTACTTGGAAAGAAAAGGAAGGATACTTGGAATGCTTAGAAAATATCATTTAGTATAGCTATCTTCAAATATCACTTAAAATATAAGTGATCCAATGTATCTTTGATGTATAGATAGTCAGCAGGTGTGAAATAAAAGAGAACACACCATAAAAATAAACATATGACATTTATTCACATAATAATGGGGCCCTAACACTGCATTTTGTGAGTCAAGGTAACACAGTGAGCTTTGTCCCAACTCTGAAACTCAGAGAATGAGAATTCTAGTTCCAACCTGCCAACCCTTGAGATGATTAAGGGGGAGAAAGAAAGGAAAATAAGTGCAAATTTTAGCATCTTATTTGCCTTATCTGTATACAAGGAATAATGATAATCGTATCATATTAAACCGTGGTACAGGTAGACGAAAAATAGTTTCTAAAAATCATTACAAAGATTCCTACCACAGCAAAGAGAAATTAATTATCAGGACACTTTTCAAGAATGTACACACACATACATTGAGAGTTGTATTTGTATCTGTGTGTGTGTGTGTGTGTGTTATTCCTTTGTCACAGAGAAATGCTCACTTTATTTTTCTCTTCCTTCTCTAGCCTTTGCACAGAAGATGCACGATAATAGATTTTTGGAGATTTCTGAAATGTCTTCATGTGAGGTTCTCCTCCCGAGTTTTCTCATAACATCCTCTAGTTACCTTCCTGTGACATTTATCTCATTGGTCTCTGTCTGTTCCATCAGATAGCAATGAAGGCAGGAACTGTACAGTGTGTCCAGTCATTCCCAAGACCCAGTGGTGTCTATCTCATGGTTGGCATGAGCTATTTGTTGAATACACAAGTAGGGGAATACTGAGTTGATCAATTTAAGCCTAAATTGGCAGATATAAACTTCATTTTCCTTATAGAGCCATTCAAATTACTTCTAGATTACCTATAATCTGCCTTTTAAAAAACCTAAGACATATCTCAGAACGTATAAAAGTATGGGAATGGTTTTGTGTTCATTGCAGATGAGTAAAGTTGATAGAATAAATGCTCAGGTCAAACATATTACTTTATTGGTCATTCTTTTATCCTTGACTCCTTTAATACTGAAAATTTCAATAATATAAATAAATAGAAGAAAGTAGTCAGCATTTTTAAGTAGGAATTTTTCCAATTTCCAGCAGAGAAAAGAGTTCGTACTTACTCACTTTACCCTACTTGAGAGAAGAGTGTCCTCAGCCCTGACTGTACATTAGAATCATTTGGAGTGCTTTAAAATCTATTGCTGTTCAGGCCCCACTGCGGTGATTCCAATTTAATTGAACTGGGTTGGGGCCCAGGCGTTGTCATTCTAATGTGCAGCCTGGGTTGAGAGCCCTGTCCTAGAAGATGGTGAACAGGAGTCCCAACTATGGAATAACACCTTTACATTGCGTTCTCCCACAAAGATCCTCAAGTGCCATAAGTAGTCAACATTTTCCTTCATAGAGACATTTACCTTCTCTATTTCAGTGCTTCACATGGATGAACTCTATAGATCATTCTCAGGGCAGCAATCATGCTGCAAGGCACTAATGAATTCAGATTCACAGTGTAATTTCAGCCACGGGGGGCAGTGGCATAAATTTCTCATTTCTAAAGCTGGCCTGATATCAGAATCAACTGAGGAACTTTAGAAGAGGATTTTTAGGAGAATTTCTTAAAAATGCAGATTTCAGGGCATCACAGATGATTAACTGAATCAGAGTCTCTGAGGATGAAGTCTTGTAATATGCATTTCTATCAAACTCCCTCAAGTGAGTCTTACATTTCAGCTAAATAGTTGTTAGACCTGCATGGATTTTAAAAAGCCTAAGTATGTCACAAATGTATGGAAATGCATATTTCAGTCTGAAAAAATTCTTTCTATGGTATAGTAGGAAGGCTGTAGCCTTTGGACTCTGACACATGTGCATTAGAAGTCCAGCTTTATCAAAACTAAGTCATATGACCATGGGTAAGCTACCCAAAGCCTCTATGTAGCTAAGAAAATAAGGATAACAAGAATACGTCCTTCATAGGGATGCTGTGACCTGCCCGGCAATGTACAGCACAAGACAGACATCAAGACATGTTCAGTCTTTTCTCCCCCTTCCTGCCCTGTGAAATATGACCAGTGAAAAAAAGAATAAAAGAAATAGGTAAAGTAGAAATAAAGGCTGACATCCTAGGAAATATGAGCATATGATATCAAGAACATGCGAATCCTTTCTTTCAATCTAAATCATTTCCAATAATCAATGGGTAAGAAGAATCTTGAAGCTAAATTTCTCTGGCATTCAAATTACTTAAAGACTAAACGATTTTCCAAAATATTCTGCTGAACTCATAGAATAGCCATGTGTAGTTGATTTTAGTAAAGGGTTGGGAGACAATTCAGACGCTTAACTATGACTCATGACAAATTCATGAAAGAAAAACAATCAGTCTATTTGAAATTGCAGATACTGCTTACAATAAAGAAAGATACATTAAAATCAGGTACCTCTACCTCCTATTTCTCCAAGTAGTTCACTTTTCTCAGAGGAGAAAACTTGGCTTCTATTTCTTTATTTATCAATAATATCAAAAGTCAACACCTCTGTGAAATTTCTCCTAAAAATCCTCTTCTAAACAAGGTGAATTCAGTTCAACAAATATTGATTGAACAACTTCTGTGCCAAAAACATCCTTCCCTGTACTCCCAGATCACCTGGAATAGGCCTTTATTACTGCACTTTCACATGATTTTGTAAATATGTATTTCCTTTTTTCTCTCTCCTACCAGACTGTGTTTTCCTCCCAGAGAGAAACCAGGGTATTTGTTTTTGAATGCCTCTTGCTCAACACAGTGCCTGAAATACAGTGGTCTGGGGTGGGGAGAGAAACAGAATGAAGAGTGCTAATTTATCTAACAATAAAGTACTGTGTATGAAATTTTTATGTATGTATACATCAAGCGTTTGACAAAGACCTATCCTATTCATAGATTGATGCAAAAGCAATGTAAATAAAATATTAGCAGGTTAAATCTAGCAGTACACTAAAATAATAACTGATGAATCATTACTAAACGATGATCATGTCATCTCAAACATTGTGTTTTTTCATTTTTAGAAGTTTGTTTTGTTTCTTTTTTATATTTTTCACAATTTTACATAGAGCACTTATGCTTTCCTCTACCTCATTTAATGTATGGGATATATTTATTGGTTACCCCAATGAAATGGTGTTTAGGGGTGGTGCCTTTGGGAAGTGATTAGCTTTAGATCATATCATAACAGTGGGGCCTTTATGATGTGATTAGTATCCCTATGAGAAAAAACAAAAAACATAAATTTTTCCCTCTCTCCAGGCACACATACCTGGAAAGGTCATGTGAAAGGTAAAGTAGAATAGGTACACCTAGCAAGAACGCAGCTGTCAAAAAGCCAAGAAAGAGTTCTCACAAGAAACCAAATCTGCTAGCGCATTGATCTTAGATGTTCCAGCCCCCAGAACTGTCAGAAAGTAATGTATGTTGCTTAAGCCACCCAGTCCACAGCATGTTGTTATAGCAGCCCTAGCTACCTAAGATACAAACTAAGCAATGAAACCTTGATGAAAATTCTTGGATACTAAGGCTCTAGAGTGCTTCCTGGTTAACAAATTGATATGCTGGCAAGATGACGCATCTGATTCCCTGAGGAAAGGGCATGGAAGCTCTGCACCACCCACCTCACAATCTTGCCCTATGTGTCTCTTCTGTTTGGCTATTTCTGAGTTGTAGCCCTTTTAATAAAACTGTAATAGTAAGTATAGCAGTATCTTGAGTTTTGTCTTTCTACCTAATTATCGATCCTGGGAATGAGGGGGGTTGGAGGTATGGGAGTCCCTGAATTTGTAGCCAAGTCAGGAAGAAGTTCAGGTAGCCTGTGGACCTCATGTGTAGCCACAGTGTGACATTACATTACATAGCAATGTAATTGGATTGAACTGAATTGGATTGAACTGTAGGACAGAATTGGATTGAACTGTAGGACAACCCCTTGGTGTCAAAGAATTCATGTCAAAATGTAGGTCTTGATTAACAAAGCTTAAAAGTAAACCTCAAAACCTCCTTGCAAGTAACTTAAATAAGTCCAAAAACCCCAAAATATTTAAAGAAATATGAAACTATCAGAACCCATAATATAAAATTCACAATATATGACATCTAATAAAAATCATCAGGCATGCAGCTGGGCCCACAGTGGCTCATGGCCATAATCCCAGCTACTCGGGAGGCTGAGGTGGGAGAATCGCTTGAAATGGGGACGCAGAGGTTGCTGTGAGCTGAGATCGCCCCACTGCACTCTAGCCTGGGTGACAGAGCAAGACCCTGTCTTAAAAAAAAAGAAAAGAAAAGAAAAGAAAAAGAGAAAAAAAGAAGAGAAAAAGAAGATCCTAGTCAATGCAATTTTTAAAAGGATAAAAAATAAAAGCTTTTAAAAAAATTATCAGGAATGCAAAGAAGTAGGAAAATACAACACATAATGGTGAAAAAAAAATAAGCAATATAAACAGACCCAGAAATGACACAGATAACAGAATGAATAGAAAATATAATAAAACTACAATTAGAAATATACTGCATGTGTTCAATAAGGGAGAGGAAAGCATAAGTGCTCTAAGCAGAAATACAGAAAATATAAAAAAGAAACAAAACAAATTTCTAAAAATGAAAAAATATAATTTACAAGATTTAAAAATATTTCAAATGGGATAAACAGCAGATTAGATATTCCAGAAGAAAACATTAGTGAGCTTGAGTACATAACAAAAGAAACTACATGAAATGAAAAATAAAAAAAAAGATAGGGAAAAAATTGTGAGAACATGAGAAAAATGTAAGACAACCTCAATTATTTCAATTTACATTTAAATGAAGTCCAAGAAAGTTAAGAGGAAGGAAACAAAATATTCAAAAAAATGATGGTCAAATATTCTCTAAATTTGATGAAAACTACAAATCCTCAGTTTCCAGAATCTCAACAAACCCCAAGCATGCGGAAGGTGAAGAAAATGACATCAAAGATTATGATAATCAAATTGCTTCAAAAAAGTGGAACAAAGAAAATCTTAAAGGCATACAGAGAAAAAAGAGTTATATTATTTGTGGAGGGAAAAGAATGCCATCAGACTTATCAGAAGCAATGCAAGCCAAAACACAGTGGAACACCAACTTTAAGGTACTGAAAGAAAACATCTGTCAACCTAGAATCCTATGTATACCCAGGGAAAATATTTTTCAAGTCAAAATATTTTTCAAAGTCATTGGCAAAATAAAGACATTTTTACATATACAAAAGCTGAAAAAGTGCATAGCTACCAGATCAACACTATAAAAAATATTGAAGGAAATTCTTCAAGCAAAAGGTACAATGTCAAAATAGTTCAAGTAAAATGATAAGGAAATCTGGATCTAAGCAAAGGAGTGAAGAACACCAGAAATAGTAAATATAAAAGTGGATACAAAAGATGTTTTGTGTTTTTCTAAATCAGCTTAAAAGATAATTGTTTAAAGCAAAAATTGTAAAATATGAGTTGATCACATATGTAAAAGTAAGTGTGTAACAAAAGTAGCACAAAGGTTAGAAGAAGGGAATAGAAGCATATGGTTGTAGGATTGTTATACAATATGTGAACTGGTATAATTCTAGCAGGACTTTTTAGAGAAACAGACATGCTGATTCTAAAATTTATATGGCAATGCAAAGGTCTTAGAATAATTTTTAAGAAGATGAACAAAGCTAGAAGACTTACACTACCTAATTTCAAGACGTACTATAAAAGCTACAGTAATCCAGACAGTATGGTGTTGGTGTAAACATAGACACAAAGATCAATAGAACCCAGAAATAGATCCACATACAAATGGTCAATTGATTTTTGACAACATGTCAAGAACATGTAACACGGGAAAGGATAATCTTCTCAGCAAATGGTGCTAGAACAATTAATTAGATAGCTATGTGCAAAAATGAAATGAAATTTCGTTCTTAAGTCTCAAAATATTTAAAATTAACTCAAATAAGAACTTAGAACCAAATGCAAGAGCTAAAGCTATAAAACATATAGAATAAAACATAGACAGTATTAGAGACCTTCAGCTCGGCAAAGATTTTTTTAAAGTAGTACACCAAAAATCACAATCCATGGAAGAAAAAAACTGATAAATTGAGTTTAAAGTCTTTTGTTCTTCAAATAATAATACAATGAAAATGAAAAGGCAAGGCACAGACTGAGAAAAAAATTTGCAAAATACATACCCATCAAAGAGGCTAGTAACCTAGAATGTATAATAATGCTGTACAACACAATCATAAGAAGACAAACAACCCAGTAAAAATTGAGCAAAATATTTGAACACACTCTTCACCAAGAAGGTATGCAGATGGGAATAAACATATAAACAGATGCTTAACATTATTATTCATTAGAGACTTGTAAATTAAAGTCACAATAAAATACCACTACATATCCACTAGGATGGCTGAAATTCAAAGGTCTCACCATACAGAATAAACTTAATGTTCTTTTGTCATAAGAATCAAGAATCACTAAACAAAAAGACTGATAAATTGACTATATAAAATTAAGCACTTCCATATAGTGGGAAACTAAAAGCATTGTAAACATATTTTAAAAACAAAAATTAAAATGGAAAATAATATTTACAAAGCATATACCAATGAGTTACCAACCTTAATATGCAAATAATTCTCACAAATTATTTTTTAATTCAAAAGGACATAAACCAGCAAGTCCACAAAGAAAAAAGAAAATGATCCACAATAATATCAACAATGCTCTTTCTCATTGATTATCAAAGAAATAAACAAGCAACTAGATATCATCTCAATAAATTGACAAAATTACTAGCAAGCCTGTAACATTCCACTAAAGGACACAACAGAAAAAAATGTAAAAAATAAATGAATTAATGTTCTCTTGAATAGATATTACATTATAAAAACATAAATACTTCTAAATTAATTTATATTGAATTCAGTTAAAACTTTTTAGGGATGTATTCAAATGCCCATTCAAAATTTCAAATTAATAATTTTGAAAACTTGGCAAAATGGAGTTTAAAACTATTTCCAGTCATTGTTCAAAGTCATTAGGGTCATAAGCGATCACTTGAGCCCAGGAGATTGAGACCAGCCTGGGCAACATAGTGAGATCACTGTCTCTACGAAATATTTAACAATTAGACAGGTACAGCACCATGCACCTATAGTTCTCACTACTTCAGAGGCTGAAGGGGGAGAATGTTTGATCCGAGGAGTTAGAGGCTACAATGAGCTGTAATCACGCCACTGCACTCCAACCTGGACAACAAAATGAGACCCTGACTCTAAAAAAAAAAAAAATCGTACAATGTGCAATATCTTTTAGGACGGATCATACAATCTCAGAAGCATAAAGCAAAAACACTAATAAATTGACCCTATAAACTTAAAACATCATTATAAGAGGAAAATAAAGCATAGTCAACAAATTTTTAAAATAAAAATGCATACTGGGAAATGACATTTGTAAAACATATGACAAAGGATTATTAGCCTTAATATTTAAAGAGTTCAAACAAATTATATGGGATTTTTAAACATGTAATAGGACAAGAGCAGGCAATTACCCAAAGGAAAAACTTTAAAATAGTCAGCAATCACAAAAAGATGTTCTTTCTTATAATCAAAGAAATGCAAATAAAAGCAACCATATCTATACCAGTAGATTGGCAAAGGTGAATAATATCAAAATCTGTATTAAAAAGGGAACAGAAAATCAGACACGTGATTTATTGACGAGAATTTCAATTAATATGCCCATTCTAGAGATCATTTCGGTAGGTTCCTCGCAGGAATGAAGAGAGAAGGAGAAAAGAAAGGGAGAAGAAAGTGAGTGAAGGAGAGAGGGAGGGCAGAGAGAGAGGAAGAAAATATAAAAAATAAATATTCTTTCTCTTGAATGTTAAGTAAATTGTGAAATAAACAAGGCAATGCTGTGCAGCTGTTAAAATGATCATGTAAAATATTTTGTCATGAATGAATATTCAAAATCTGTATAAATATATACACATTATTATTTATAAGTATGTATGTGTGTGTATATATACATGTATGACAGTTTGAATATTGTGATCCCAATTATACAACATTGGGTGTGTAGGCACCTGTGTGCATGTGTGCATGCATGAAGAGGTATCTAGAAGAGTTTTCACCAGTGTATTAACAGTGGTTATTTCTTGGTGAAAAAATTCTATGTGATTATTATTACGTTAACCTTTATACTTCTCTAATAGTTTGAATTTTTAAAATAATGAGCATGTCTCTGTTTTAAAGCAATAAAGCTACTTTTTAAATGTGAGTCATCCAATGAGATGAGAATTTAATAGTATGTGAGTGATCACATAAAAACATGTCTTCTTGGAGCTGTGTTTCTATTAAGATCAATGTCTTTACTCCTTTCCCTCTTCACTTTGGAAGAGACAGAGGAGAAGCAGAAAGCAGGAAGAATTTGATAATAATCCAAATATAAAACCATTATTTCATTTTCTTTTTAATGGTTTTAGTAACTGAATTTCATTTTAGGTCAGCATCCTTTTGGATATTTACAAAGAGACAAAATAGAAGGTAAAAGTAATATGCCATCGATATGTTTTAAGGATCACTAGTGTTCAAGCAAAGCATTAGTGTGGCGTGCAAAGGAAGGGAAAGAGGCAGAAGGAAGCAAGATAAAAAGCACTGAGCATGAGGAGGTGGAATGGAATCCATGAGACATGCTAAGTGGAAGGGTGAAAACAGAAAATGATTGAAAATTCAAAATCAAGAATTACAGGATAGAATGAATTTGGAAGAGCCACCCAAAAGAACTATTTAAGTAAATCAAATGTTCATAGCCAGTGCTCATTCATTTATCCTTTTGGTCCAAATCCAGTCAGATATTACCTCCAGGTGCAATATTTGGCACTGAGATGAGCATTAAAGTTAAATATTTATTGGTGCCTTAATATTGTCAGAGACTTGTTCCAACACTGACCCAGGTTTGTTTCCCTCACGAAGCACTGCATGATGCTTAATCCTGATCTCTCTAAGATTTAAGAAATATCCTAGAGGTCTTATTTTCATTTCTAATGTTAGTTCAAGGAGGTCAGCTGTCTTTTACATTAGTGTCTGGGCCATAACTCTGCCCTTAAATATTGATGGTAATCTGGATTATTTTCTTTACTGGGCAAATTTAACCAATATGGAAGATAATGACTATCCTAAATAATATCAGGCACTTTAAATATATACTCTTTATGACAATGCATTTCAAATGCCTAACACTTTCACCCAGCCATTCTAATTCTAGAAATTTCCACTAAAGAAATTCTTGGGCAGACATAAAAATTTATTTACAAATGCTAATATAACACTGCTTTCAACAGAAAATATATTTTTAAAATCATGAATGTATGTTACATGTCCAAACAATAAGAAGCCAGATAAATACATTTGAATATAGGCATTACATGTTTATCATTAAAATCTATTAATGTTAACTTTGATTAAAATGACAGTTTTCAGAACCAAACTGTGTAGAAATAGTGGCATCGCTAGAGTGAAGAAGTTCCACAGTGCTCTTTATGGATATGCCATTAAAATGTTTGATAATCACAAGTCAACACCTCTTGTATGCTGCACACAGGGAAGACTGAATTGCATGCCGTATTTATAATGGCCATTGAGTGCTGTCTTCATATCTACTGCACATGATGGCTCGACTTACTTGACTTCTCAAGTACTATTGCCTTGTCTCCTTCATTCAGAGATTTGATCTAAGATTACTGCCTTTCCCAGTTGGTCAAATTGTATAATTAAGCAGGAAGCATCTCAGATTGATCCATGTTTTGAAGTGGGTTTGGGAGATGTTTGGGTATATAGCAAACTAAGAAAAACTCTGTGTGTAATTCAATCTGTCATTTTGCAATGCCTGCTCATAAAGGGCACATGCATGGAGCAGTCTTGACATCATTCCAAAGGGCTGTCATCACATTATCTAGGTCACACTACAAGCGACGTACTTAGAAATTGTTCATCCCAAGGTTTAGGATAGGGAAGATATTTTGATCTGAAATTGATCATAATAATAAAAATAAAGTAGAATTGTACATGCCACATTATTGAGCATGATCCAAAAAAGATATGTTTTTCTCTAACATGAAAAGTAACTAAGAAGCCTTAGTTAAGAAATCATAATTTCTTCCAAATTCAGAGGATGATTTTGTTGATTATGACTGGCTTCTTTTTAAAGAACTAATTCCATCATAAACCTCTGTTGCGAATTTTTGAGCCAATTATTTGGAACACAAATTTCAGACAAGCTAGATACTGGCAGTAGTTTTGAATTTACTTAGTTTGATTCAAGGATTCAATTTTACCTGTGCCATTTCTCGTTCAAGCAACTGGTCAGATTACAATAGCATAGATTAGGGGATATGCTTCAGTGAAGCACTGAGAGAGATTTGCCTAGTTCCTGCCACTCCATGTTCAACAACTGTTAAATTACTAATAGGGAGATATTTCAAGACTTGCCTTGACTGATTTCAAACTTACTTAGGAAGCAACAAATAAAAGAAGAATACATGGCTTTGAATATAGAGTCTATGTGGCCCTTGAGAATCAGTTTCCCCATCTATGAAACGGAAATAAGGTCTACCTCAGAGAACTGTCAGAAGAATTAAATGAAATGTGCTGAGTAAACCCTAAAGACTACACTAATATTCATTATTTTTTCCACTTTGTCATATAGCTTCTTAATATCAGGACTATAGTTTTTACTATAATGTTTACTTTTGTTGTTGTTGTTGTTTGTTGTTTTTAACAGTTTATTTTTTAGGGTGCCTTTAGGTTCACAGCAAAATTGAGAGGGTGGTATAGAGATTCCCTATATACCCACAACTCCTACACATGCATTGCCTCCCCAATAATCAGCATCCCCACCAGAGGGCATGTCTGTGGCAACTGATGAACCTACATTGACACATTTCATACAAAGTCCATAGGTCACATTAAGGTTCACTCTTGGTGTTGTGCATTCTCTGGGTTTAGAAAAATATTTAGTGATATGTGTCTACAGTTATAGTACCATACAGAGTATTTTCACTGTCTTAAAAATCCTCTATGCTCCACTTATTCATTCCTCTTCTCTACCACCCAACCCCTGGCAACCACTGATCTTTTTTACTATCTTCATAATTTTGCCTTTAAAGAAATGTCATGTAGTTGGGATCATACAGGATGTAGCCCTTTCAGACTGGCTTCTTTCACTTAGCAAATGCATTTAAGTTTCATCCCTGTCTTTTCATGGCTTGCTCAGTCATTTCTCTTAGCACTAATTAATATTTCATTTTCTGGATGTTCCACAGTTTATTTATCCATTTGCCTACTGAAGGATATCTTGGTTGCTTTTAAGTTTTGGCAATCATGAATAAAGCTGCCATAAATATCTGCATGCATATTTTTGGGTGAACATAAGTTTTCAGTTCCTTTGGGTAAATACCAAGGAGTGTAATTGCTGGATCATAGGGTAAGAGTATGTTTAGCTTTGTAAGAAACTGCCAAATTTTCTTGCAAAGTGGACATGCCATTTTGCATTCCCACCAGCAATGAACAAGAGTTCCTTTTGCTACATATTCTGATGAGCATCTGCTGTTGTCAGTGTTCCAGATTTGGGCCATTCTAATAGATGTGTAGTAGTATGCCACTGTATTTTAATTCGCATTTCTCTAATGATATATGATATGGAGCATCTTTTCGTATTCTTATTTGCCATTTGTATGTCTTCTTTGGTGAAGTGTCTGTTAATTTGGCCCATATTTTCAGCCAGATTGCTTGTTTTCTTGTTGAATTTTTACGGTTCTTTGTATATTTTGCATTACATTTGTTTTTCTGATATGTCTTGCAAATATTTAATCCCAATCGTAGCTTGTCTTCTCATTCTCTTGATACTGTCTTTTGCACAGCAGAAATTTTTAATTTTAATAAGCCCAGCTTATCAATTATGTTTTTATGGATCATGCTTTGATGTTTTATCTGATGTCATCATCATGCCTAAGGTCATCTAGGATTTTTCCTATATTTTCTTGTAGAAGTTTTATGGTTTTGTGTTTTATATTTAGGTCTATGATCCATTTTGAGTTAATTTTTGTGAAAGATGTGTCTAGATTCTTTCTCTTTTTTTTTTTTTTTTTTTGGCATATGGATATTCAGTTGTTCCAGCACCATTTGTTGAAAAGACTATCTTTTTCCATTATATTATCTTTGCATTTTGCTAAAGAACAGTTGATTAAACTTATGTGGATCTATTTCTGGGTATTCTATTCTGTTCCATTGATCTATTTCTCTATTCTTACCCCCATACCACACTGCCATGATTACGATAGCTTTATAGTAAGTCTTGATACAGTGACTTTTTTCTCTTTTTCATTACAACAGTTAATTTTTGCTAAAAATTCTGAAGTGATCATAGAAGTAATGAAGTCTGTGTCATGTAAAGTCCATCATACCTTTGGGTAGTTATGGTATTGATGGTCAAATATCAACAGAACTATTGAAAACCTCTTTTCTAGAACCATGTGGCTTAGTCCTTTCACCTTCATATCGTCATAGAAATTACCACAAAATTTAATGACTTAACCAGCAAACATTTTATTCGCTCATAATTTTATGGGTCAATATTTTAAACAGGGCTCAGCTGGGTGGTTCTTCTACTCCAGGTAATGTTGACTGATATCATTCCCTTGGTTACATTCAGTTGGTGAATGTATTATGCTAAAAGTCCAAGAAGTCCTCACTCACATGTCTAGTGCCCCAGTGCACCTCTATATGCCTTTCTTTCTCTCCAAGTAACTAGCTTGAGATTACTTGCAGCATTATGGCCTCAGAAAGACCAGAAAGCTACCGTAGGGAACAGTAGTAGCTCTGAAGCCACTTGCTTCCAAGAAGAAATAGTCTAAAAGGGAACTGCAAGTCCCTCAAAGCCCAGCCTCAGATATTTTGCAACAACTCTTGTTCCATGATCTACTGATTAAAATCAGTTACAGGGGCAGCTTAGATTCACAGAACAGGGAAATACACATCAGCTCTTGACGAGAGCCACTTTACATCCACCACATCCACTTGCATCCACCACAGTCATGTCTTCTAGAGATGCTATTGTGCAGTCATGGTGCTCCTTTTGATTTCACCTCATCATTAGTAGTTATGTGGTATAGTGAGTTGGTGTAGAATTATCCCACAGTGAGTTTTTACTCCCCCGCAAAAAATCTGGGTAATTTCTGAAGAAAAGAGGTTGATTTGGCTTATAGTTCTGCAGTCTGTACAAGCATGGCACCAACATCTGCTCAGCCTCTGGTGAGACCTCAGGAAGTTTACAATCATGGTGGAAGGCAAAGGGGGAGCAGGAGTGTCACATGGCAAGACAGGGAGCAAGAAGGAGAGGAGGAGGTGCCAGGCTCTTTTAAACAGCCAGATCTCACATGAACTAATAGAGTAAGAACTCACTCATTACTGCAAGGACAGCACCAAGACATTCATGAGAGATTCATCTCCATGATCCAAACACCTCCCACCAGGCCCCACCTCCAACACTGGGATCACATTTCAACATGAAGTTTAGAAGGGACAAACGTCCAAATCATATCATCACCCACTTGACCACATTCTCACCAAGGATGTCACTCTTACGTCTTCAAGTAGCTCCACAGAAAGTGGCACAGACAGTGGCAGACTTGGTGAATTGCCCTTCCTATCATATTGCAGGAAGAAAATCCATCATTCTCTTCCTGGTGTGCTGCTTAGAGGGTGATCTTAATTAAACTGTAGAATGTCAAACTTTAGTATGGAGGAGGGGCAGCCTATAGGGAGAGGATATGAGTAGGTTTATTTGTCACTGAGCAGAAGGTTGGTAGCTCTTCTCTTAGAAAAGGTTGTTTTAAAAAGGCAAAACTTCATATTATATAAAGCCACCATCATTTCTCCATCTACCAATCAAAGTAGCTCCATCCTACCTGCCTTCAAGGCACACTGTACTACTCTTGGGGCCTCACACAAGCATTTGTGAAGAGAAAGATCTGGAGAGGATGTTCCAAGTTCACATTTAGAGTCTGAGAGTCACAGGTGGTATTTCCTTAAATATCATTTCTCAGACATTCAAACCCATTTGTTTCAGAAACGAGGCAGAATATTTAAATAACAGCACTCCTTGATCTTCAAGACCCAAGATGCTGGTAGGCTCCTACTTTTAAGACCAGTGGAGAAGGAAAAGCAAACCATAATGATTTCTGAACCCTGACTCAAGAATCTTCTGGTTATGTCATGTGTTCTTCCTGCCTCTACCTATGCTTTGCCTTAAATTAGAACCTATTTCTTTCTGGAAGCTTTCTATGGCCCCTACCAGGTGAGCTGCAACTCCCACATATTTTTTTCTATCACCCTGTATTTGTGCCCATCAAAGCCTCTACTACACTTACTATAATTATCCATGTACATATCTGTCTCCTTCATCAGATAGACTCCTCCAAAATGAGAACCCCACTTTACCCACCCTTGAATCCCCAGTCCTTGGCACAGTGTCTAGCACAGGTCAGCTGTGCAATGTTTCAGCAGCAGCATCCCATTAGCTCTTGACTGCAGCCTTGGGAAGGAAGTGGAGACGCTGACACTAAGGGGCTCAGGGACTTGTTTCGTGGCTGAACCATGACCAGAGATCCTGACCTATGACCCACTGATCTTTTCTCTATGTGCAAAATCTAGTTCCCATCCTGCATTTTGCTTTGTCTTCTGTGCCATTAAAATACAAAGCACAGGACTTTCAGCATCACAGAAAGTTGGAGCTGAAAAGGGCCCTAGGGACTGTGTTGCCATAGTCCAATCCCACCATTTTATGCAAAGGAAACAAATCCTAGAGAAAAGTGACTTGTGGCAGATCTTGGCCTAGAACGTGGGCCTATTGGTTCCTCTCCATTTTCCTATCTCTGGTAGAAAGGTACAACAGTATGATACATGATTGATAAATGCATCTTTTATGCCAGATTTGAGCCTCCATCCCAGCCCTATTAATGGAATGCAAACAAGTGAATTTGAAAAAAAGAACATGATTTTCCATTCATCTTTCCATTCTGCATCCACATGCCACAAATGGAGACCATTTGGTGGGGGCTGAAGAGGTGAGAATAGATCCACGACATGCAGTTCTGCATCGCCGCTCAGCAGGGCTGTCAGTAATATCTTACTTAACATACTGTCACAGAATTTTCCTTCAGTGTCACCTCGGTCGCTACTGTAACACTCCATAAGAAATAATGCCATCTGTTAAAATACACAAGGCAGGGAAACGCAGCTGCTGTCATCGCACAAAGATGGAATTAGCCAACACTAAGCAATTACTTTCCTTTTAAATTTCACAATTAAAATTTTAGTCTTGCTTTATTTGTATCACAAAAGTCACCACAACACTGTGCCTGTTGAAGTAACAACACCACTCTCTTGATAAAAACATAGAGGAGGAGGAGTTTAGTTGGGGATAATGGTAATTGTTACTCTGTTGCCTTTTTTATAAATATTTTTTAAATTCCATTGGGCGGTGTTAATTATAGGTAGCAGTACTAAGAATAATGGATTTGCTTATAGCATTCACATTTTGGCTCTCCTAGTACTCAATTAAAGAAAAAAAAACCCTCACAAAGTGAAGTTACTAGCTGATGGAATGATCATTATGCTGCATATCCAAAATCTTTTTTTTTCTCTCTCGCTCTCTCTCCTTGGTAGTAGAAGATTTAATGGAGAAGGAAAGGACTCAGGTCCTAAAGAGACAGGTTTCTAATTCGAACAGAAATGAAATCCTGCCTCTCAGCTTTTATTTCATTCATTGGAAGGGAGCAGATTGCTGGCTAAATAACAGAAGGGTGGACCTATTCAGAGCTTAACTGCTTCAAAAAGCTGTAAGAGATCAACAATTGCATTGGCCATACTCCATTATGAGGGTGTCAGCAAGCTGGTGTTTCTTTCTTTGATGCATTTTTTTAAGCATGGGAATTATGTACTAAATTTTCTGGGAGGAGAGAAATAGGCAAAACCTGTCTTAACTGTTTTTCTGATGGGCAAAGTTCTCTTACGGGATAGAACAAAATCAGTGACTTTAAAAAAGGGTTAAATTGCCAGCTTTTCTCCAACTTCTGATGTGTTTATGAATATAAATCACTTGATGAGACCATATGCCAATGATGCCATGAGTGTGGAAATGCCTAAATGTTTGTTACTTGGGTCTTTTTAGACAGGAAGACTTAAATATCCACTTTTATCACGGTGTCTTTAATAACTCTTTAACTTTCAGCACAGTGTCCATCTAAAATATGGTATTTGCTTTTAATAACCTTCCATAGTTGTCTGGTTTATAGACAGAATGGTTTATATACGAGTTCATAGATAGAACGGCTCTCAAACTGCATGGTAAAAACACTTAAATCCACCTTAAGATAAGTTCATTCTAAACTCTGCAGTGAAGAAAAAAGCCTTCATAGAAAAACTACTTAATAGGTACCATGTACTTGGCACTTTAGTAACAAAACTTTCAAAATTAGTTATTTTTAAAATCTGTATACAGCTTGACCTCCCAAACACTGAAAATTCCTTCAGGACTAATAATATGTCTTATCTTTTTGGTTGCCCCATCAGATACAACACAGTATCATCAGTAAGGCAGGCTCAACTTTTGTGGACTAATTAGCTTCAGACATTAAAACCTGAGATGTTCCCATTTTGGAATTATATGTGTTAGTCATTAGATATCTCAGCTGGGGTAGGGCAGGAGGAGGATAGCTAACAAAATTATTCTCACAAACAAAATCTTGGCAAATTAATTACTCACACACATGGATTTTGCCTGGATCTATTGACCAAAATCTTGATGAATACAATGATGTCTGATGTATTATTATATGGAGGAAACTAGATTTTATCACAGACTGTAAGATTCTTGAGGTCCTCAAATACAAAGGGCCATATTTAGAAATAAATTTGCAATCTGTGAATATAATTCACAATCAAGTCTCTTAAAGTCACAAAATAGCAATGACTACATCTCTGATTACTAATTGAATCAGGCACTACCAGCACTCCAGTGAAGAGCAACCAGACAGAAGAAGCCCCTAGGCCATGCTTGTCTGCATTTTACACCATAAGACACATGTCCAGACAGTCTGGTTCTTAAAGATGCTGTTTCTCTTTGTGGAATGATTTATAAAAAAAAGAGGGAAAATGATGTGCTAGGCATTATACCACTCTTTTCAACTGTAGTAATACATCCAGTTTAACAAGAAAACATGTGTTACTAATGACCTCCTTTGTGTCTTACCTGGCTAGGGAGAGATCTAAAGCCAGTTTTCAGTTGAGCTCCTGTATTATATTACCCCTTCTTTTCTGAGCTAAGCTTAAAAGAATGTACAGCAATGATGAAAGTACATTGTTAAGAGGTTAAAAAGAAGGCAAAGATTATTTTTCCCCATGCAATATATAAGGAATCTTATGGGTCTCAGAGAGGAAAACATATACACAATCTGTTCAAACCACCCAATTTCTCATTCAAGTCCCCACTTGCCCATTGCTTACTAGTTCTTCATTTTTTCACAATCCCTTGACTTTGCTACCTTCATCCTGTTGTTCTCTTTTGGGTCCCATAGACTCAATATATATCCACACCAAGACTCAAGTTCTCACATACATTTAGCATAATCATTTCACATAACATATGAATATTGCTCAAAGTAGCATGTAGGGGAAAAACATGCAAACCTTTTTCCCCTTGATTAAAAGCAATAAGTGTGAATGAAATGAAATAAAATCTTGCCCAGTTTAGATGTCGTCAACTGTAATTGCTATTTTTTTCTATTCCAACTATTTTATCTAAGAATAGATAGCTTCCTATAAGTTAAAAAGTAGAAAAGAATGAGCTTTAAGGTGGCTGGAAAGGACTCAAGATGAGTTTTAATTCTGCCTCTGTACCCAGATGTGGTATGAAGTGGTAAATTAGTGTTAGCTGGAGTCTCACCTACCCACACACGTGTATGTGCCAGATGGTTCCATGGCAGTCAGGAGGTTTGAAGCGAAGCAATCTCTTCATCTGCAGCTGGAATACACAGGATTGCCCAGTTAAATAAGATGCTCATTCATTTAAATCCACCCCCAAATAAATGGATTAGATCTCATAAAACATGAGGTTTCTCTTTCTTTAGGTTCCTAAAAAAATTTAAACCTGGTGAACATTTTCACCACATCCCAGCCAAATCACTTTCAGTACCAAATTTAGTTTTATATGCCTCGGAGATATGCATATGATAATTCCTCTATACACCCCAATATTTGTATAGCTTCTTAGGTTAGATTTGAAAGTAACATCAAGTGGTTGCCCCATATTATCTCATTTACAGCAGAGCAGCCAGTTTATCACAGTCTATGTGAAGGTTTTCAAAATTTCCAATCTACAATCAAATGCTCTAGCAGCTTCTCAGTGGTTAAGCAATCCCCCTCCAATTTTATCTGAATTTGACTTATTCTAAAAATGTACTGGGTTTTATCGTGTGCACATAATAATCACACCATATTTATGTAATGTTTTAAATTTATTATTGAATGATGTAGCCACTGAAAACTGAATCATTCAATAAGAAATTTAAATTTCAGCGACTGAAAACTCCTCATTATTGCTGCAAGCCCATTTATTTCACCTGAGATTCCTGAAAATACAAAACAAGGCAACAACTTAATTCATGCATGAATCTGCCCGATTAATTTTCCCATTTGTATAAGATATGGGGTATCTTGCAACTTAGGTAAACAAACAAGATTGTCACTCTAAAAACAGAGTATAAAAATGGAGTGTGGATGATGGAGAGCTTCCAAGTCTTCTGGTCCCACCAATATGTTATTCATTTAACAGTATGCAAATGAGTTAACAAGGATACATGCAGAGTTCCCAGGGTAAATAATTTCCATTTCTGTCACTGCCTAGAAACCATCCTTAGGTATCTCCTAAATATTCATGCCTAGGGAAATAGGCAATAAAGTGAATTAAGGAAATCATATCTCACCCAAGATTTCCTTCTAAAGAAGAAAGCATGAGGAGAAAGAGAAAACATGGTGAGAAGAAAGAGAGAAGACAAGAAAAAGAGTTTTTTCATAATTTGTTTTCTATCTTTTTTTGAAGCCTTCTATCTGGCTTTTATGGAATTAAGCTTGGCCCATGGTAAATTTTTGCACATCATAATATTAATGCTCATTGAAAGCATGAAGCTTCAAGGAGTTTTGGAAGGCAAACTCCTGAGAAGAAGAGCTCCATACAATTAAGCATGCTACCTAGCCAAACCCTTCTGAAAAAAAAAATCACAATTTAAATTATCAGCATGTTTATGCCCCACTGTGCATATCAAGGAGAAGCTCACTAAAATATCCCATTAAAATATACAATTTGTGACATAACATACACTGAGATATACTAACTACAAGTCAAGCAATACTTTGGCCAAAATATAGATGCCAAATTCTCAGATTGTTCCTGTGTAGATTGCACAAATTCATTATAGTTTAGACAACCAAAATAAAAGGACTTTTCTCCTCATCCTTTGTTATGCACCGAACTGTGTCCTCATCTCCCAATTTATATTTTGAAGTCCTAACCCCCAATGTGACTGTGTTTGGAGATAGGGCCTTTAGGAGGAAATTGAGGTTAAATAAGGTCATAAGGAAGGGGCCCCAATTCAATAGGATTATTGTTCTTGTTAGAAGAGAAAGAGATATCAGATAGATCCACCCCTCTCCCTCTCTCTCTCTGTCCCCCTGAGTGTGCACAGAGAAGAAAAAAGGGAGAAGGCAATTATCTACAAGCCAGAAAGAGATGCCTCATGAAAAACCAACCCTGACAGCACCTTGATCTTGAACTTCTAGCCTCCCAGTCTGTGACATTTTGTTATGGCAGCCCAAGCAGACTGATACATCCTTGTTATATTAGACTTAAATTTTGTAAAAGGACTAATATAAGTTTTTTAAATAGAAGCCATCAGCCTTCATAAGATTTATGAAAGAAAAGTAAGAAACTAGCCGCTGGAATATGCTAAACTCTGGCCTCAGCATTGGGGATACAGTCATGAATAAGGATGCAGTCACAAACAAAACAGAAAATGACCAGCTGTCATAGAGATTACATTCTAGTGGGAAACGTAAATAAAAACTGTGCAAACAGATAAATTAATAAAGTAATTTTGGTTAGCAGTAGTGTCATGAGAATAATAAAGTAAGGCAACGTGATAGAGAGTGATGAAGACTGGAGCCAGGTGATGGAAGTTCTCTCTAGAAAGCTAGCATCTGAGCTAAGGCATGAATGAAGAAATGAAACCTGCCATAGCAATGAGGAAAAGATCACTCTGGGCAGAGGAAAAATCAAGGGCAAGGACTCTGAGGCAGGCACAAGCTTTCTGAAGATCAAAGAGTGCATGAGTATCACTGGAGAGCAGTATGCAAGAGAGGGAGTTACCAGCAAGGGACTAGGGAGGTAGAAGGGGTCACGCCATGTAAGGACAAAGGAAAGAATTAAGAACTCATCATCAAATACAAAGCATTGGAAGTTACTGGATGGTTACAAAAAGCGGAGAGACGACACGATAGGATTTATATTTTTAAACAGCACTTTGGCTACTAGAAGATAAATGATAAGGAAGGTAACCGTCTATGCCAGGAGACCAGCTAGGTGACAACTGTAATAGATGAGGTGAAAGTGATGATGGCATGGCCCTAAGGTGGGTAGGTATGGCAGTTGATTGGTGTAGCAGATCCGGGTTATATATTTTGGAGGTAGAGTCAACAAGCATTCTGACAGCTGTGTAAGCAGAGCAAAAAAAAAAAAAAAAAAAAGGAATAAAGAATTACTTTTTATGTTCTAGGTTTAAGAGACAAAGCAGATAGTAATTGACTTACATGTCTTAGTTGTGTATCTCCACAACATAATGCTTGGCTCAGAGAGGGCATTTGGTTGATATTTCTGAAAGGAATGGAGGAGAGAAGAGAAGAGAAGAGAAGAGAAGAGAAGAGAAGAGAAGAGAAGAGAAGAGAAGAGAAGAGAAGAGAGAAGGGGAGGGGAGGGGAGAGAAAAGTGGGATAGGGTATGAGAGGAGAGGGATAGAGGGAGGAAGACAGGGAGAGAGGAAGAGAAGGAGGGAGGAAGGAAGGGAGGAAGGGAGGAAAGAAGGAAGGAAGGAAGGAAGGAAAAAAGGAAGACTCTCACTATACATCACTGCCTTGTACAAATACCCAACTATTTAAATAGAGAAATACTCAAGTCTTTCAATATACATTCCACATACATTCCCTATAATTCAATATAGTAATTATTGTGCCTAATAACTCTTAAGCATTGCAAAATTCCAGGAAGGTTTTATAAACTAAAGAAGGTTTAAATTATTTTTAACATACATTTAGAATGAAGTATATATTATTTTCTTCTACACAAAATTATACCATTCATGCTACATGGCCCTTTCCAGAGCCAAGTTTGTTTAACTCAAATATCCATTCCCTGGCCATGTTTTAGAATAGCTAGTTTACTATAATATTAAATTTAGACACATCAGTTTGAAGACCAAGTCTTAAATAGGTCACTTTAGAACTCAGGTAATACCCAAGGTTTCACCTTAAAATGAACTTTTTTTCAGCCTATAATTTATAATTATAGTCATTATCTTCCTTACTAGAAATAACTGGAATAGCCATTAACTCAAAGTTTTGGGTTTTAAAATCATGCATAAAAATATAACTGTGAAAATTTGCAGGAGTTCCCATGAAGAAAAAATACTGCCTCTATGGAGAAGTCTAGATTAACATCAGGACTAAAATATGATCTATTCCTATGGCTACATTTTAAATGGTAAAATAAAGTATGGCTTCATATTGCAAGTAATAAAGATCAAACAGCATATAAGGTGAATCTAGAAAGTCAGAAAAGTCCATCTTGATGATTCAACTCAACAGGCAAAACAGTGTCTCCAAAATAGAGGGTCCAAAAACTGGGGCCTGAGAGAGCTACGCAAGGAACAGCAGTTTGAATACCCTTGGAGAGTAGCATAGTCATCACAGCTTGATTCACATGAAATGCAACTGTGCCAAAGAATGCCAGTCAGGGATCCATAAAAACTTACCCAATATAGAAGCCCATGGAAGTTTGCCTCATCTGGTATTAGCAATTTAATGTCTTGGTTCCTAGATGGGAAATTTGTATCTTTTTAATTTGGCCAATTCCTAAGACGGCACTTAAATGTGAGTACCTAGTTGTTCAGTGTGATTACGGAAGGGTAAAATCAGGAAGTGAGCTGTACAGATAAATGATGCCAGTGTCCTAGCTCCTCCTAGTACCTGGACACGGTGCATCTGCTGTTCCATCTCATGCTATCTCTACTGACCACAGAGCAATCCAGCCTGGAGTAGAAGATCTACGTGCACATCCCTTAGGGAATCTCTGGGGGAAAAAAATGTTTTCTTTTCCTTTGTCACCATTTTCTTTATAAAATAATCTTTCAAACATTCAATGTTTTAAACATCCAGATAATCAGAAATGTTGAGCCAAAACCTGAGACACATCTTCCTTGATGTCTTGATGACTTCTAAGACCTCATCAGAAGCACCCCTCATTCACTCCATGTTTTGTCAACTGGAAAACCAGGATATGATAGGAGACTCAGTTCCCATGGCGAGCTCCAATGTGACATGGGGCAGATTCATGCTGAGCACCGATGTTCTTGTTCTTCCACACCCCTTTCACCTTGGACAGCTCTGAAAGAATGTTGGGTTTCTGCCCTCCTCTGAACAACCGAGGAAAGCTCTCTTTTCCAGAAGTCCTAACAAGAAAATGCAAGAGAAAGCCAGACCAGCAAGAACACCACACAGCCCCTCTATAAACACAGCCAGGCAAGAGAATGTTGGAAGCCTTCTCCATACACCAAAGAATAAAGGGGGGTGGGGATCAGTTCCTTGGCTATCCTTGTGCATATACTATCCTCACTTGCCTGTACTTTTTACCAGCATTGTCAAGGTCCTATATCACCCTGCTGGCAATTGACATATGACTGATTCTATCCAAGTTCACTCTCTGAAATTCTCTGGAGAGAAGAAAGCAAGTGGTTCACAGAATGCTGTCTAACATAATAGATACTTAGAACTACATTTTTTAAATGCAACAAAAGAAAGGTACTCTACAATTACTTTCTTTCATACCATGAAGATGAAGTTTATTTTAAATTGACTGAAATATGTTCATTTTAAGCACTTATTTTTCCAACTGGTATAAGCAGAAATATTGGTATAAGCAGAAAGTCTTTGGCAAATGACTTTGACAAATGTATATTTTGTGCATGGTCATTGATTAGAGGGTGAGGAGGAGTCTGTCAAGATAGGTGGAGATAGTTAGTCCTCCAGAGTACAGGACTGGACACAGCAAAAAATATCACAGCAAAGAGTCCCGAAGAATATGACTCTCTTTTGCAACATAGCAAGACTAACTCATCTCACACAATAACGTTGCCTGTCATGCTGGGGAGAGGAACATGATTTTTGCTTGCCCTCAGAAAAATAGATGAAAAATATAAGCCTTCTAAAACAAAGCAGTCTGGAAATATGGGGTCATTTATAAGAAATATTTAATATTCTTAATTCAGCAACAAAAGCAACATGGGTTGCGATTAGAGTTTTAGGCTGCAGAATGCAAAGAGGAAAGATAAATAGTAGAAGGGGAGATAAGAAAAGCAGTTTTAATAAACTGAGAAAGAGGGAGAGGGAATTGAGAAGGGGCAGCTTCTTCTCAACCTCACCTTCTATCACTTTCCAGAGAAACAGGAAGTCAATTATATACCACAGCATCACCTCATGCAGTTCCATTCCCTGGCTGACCTTCTTTGAACACACTTCCCTGCAGGATGTCTTGACAAGTTGCCCTGCACATCAGCAGAGAAAACTTTCACTACCTGTAGATCTAGAGAAGCTCATTAAAAACACACCGAGTGTGGCATGGGGCTGTAAATTACTTTAAAGCTCTCAGATTTTTCTTCTCTCTCAAATTATACAGATCAATTATTAAGCTTTGCCACAGAAAAGTGGATCATAATATCTGTTAATGTATCACAGTTTTATCAAGCTGCCACTCATGATCCACCATAAAGCAAGCAAGTTCTATGACCACGTTAAACTAAATCTTATCACAAAGAAAAGGAACAAAGACAGAGAGGGAGGCAGGGAGGGAGGGAAGAAGGAAACAGGGAGGGACAGAAAGAGGGAAAAAGGAAGGAAGGTAGGGAGGGAGGAAGGAAGGAAGGAAAAAATGAAGGAATCAAGAAAGTAAGAAAGGAAGGAGAAAAAACTATTTACAGGGTAAATAAAGAAAATTGTAACAGCAATTAATAAAGTAACATTTAATGTATTAATTAGCATCTCCTAGAGGGCTTGTATATGTGTTTTTATCAGAGAAAGGCTGCCTCGTATGACAAGAAAATACCCACATATCTTACATCAAAAGCATTTCTTTCCTGTTTCTCTTCCTCCCTTACTGTAGTGAACACAGGAGAGCACATGAAGGAAGGTAGAATAATTCATTACTTTGTCTCCCACTGCTTTGTATGTTCAACATTTTTTGAATAAATACAAAGTCATAAATTAGCTTGTAGCAAAACAGAATTAATTGAATGTCTTAAGTAGGATCATCAAACCAAGGTTTGAGTCCATTTATCTGCCTAAGACTTTGCTAATGTAGTTTCAGCTCATTAGGGCAAGAGTTGATTCTGGAGATGGGACATTTTTAGACATAGAAAGGGAAAAAATAAGATCAAAAAATTCTGACTTCCTCTGTTTTTGCAGAAGAATTCCTTGAAGGCTATCTAATGTGTACTATAGATCATAAAACTGCCCTCCAAACAATCTATTATTGAAAAACTGAAGATGTTTTCATAGAACCTGAAGATATTTACACATGTACTGACACTGAGAAGGCTATGCCCTTTATTCTTTCAAAGGCCCTTGCCAGAAAACATCTTAGAAACACTGCATGGAACTGCAATTGTGTGTATGTGTGTTGTGCATGCACTTGTGTGTCCATGGTGTATGGAACAGCAATGCACACAGATATATATTTTATATTATATATTTTATATTTTTATATATACTTTATATATAAAGTAAATATATTTTATATATTTACTTTATATATATAAAGTAAATATATTTTATATATTTACTTTATATATATAAAGTAAATATATTTTATATTTACTTTATATATATAGTAAATATATTTTATATATACTTATATATAATGATATCTATTTTTGTTTTTCCATATATATGTAGAAAAGTGAAACATATCATACATATGTGTTACACATAAATAAAAAGAGACATTATTTGGTTGTTTTCTTGGAATAAATTTTTCAAGCATCCAAGTGAAACAAAAATAATTGTATGCACCAAGAAAGAAACAGCAGCAAGGTTGTGGGGGAAGATTTCCCTACATTTCCAGTAATGGAATCAATAATAATCTGCATTCTTCCAGCAAAAAGGCTTCTGCACGGGAGAACCGATGACAGTCACTGAGTGTTCTTCCTGACCCTGGTCAAGCAACAGTAGCACAGGTGCCCAGTTCTGCTCTCTCCCCATTTGGTTAAATGGGCTCTTTCCTCATAGACAAGATAACAGGACCTTGGAACTTCTTATGCAACTTCTTGCAATAAGTAAAAATAAATTAAGGCAAAAACTACGTTTTAGACTAAGCCTTATATAATATTAGTTAGGCCCAAAGACACCACATCTATGAATGGATATTTCATTAAAATATTAAAGAATTCACATAAATGAATCAAGGCTCTACAAAACATCATCAAGGCTACAAAACTGGAATAAAATGAACAGAAGTAGATAAAAGTCTGGCTTAGAAGAAAAAAAAAGTCACTTACTAGATGTAAACATGGTCAGGCTATGCAACCTCTAATCTTCAATGTCCTCCTTCCTCTGTAAAATCCAGATAATTTGCTGCAAGGATTAAAATAGGTGATTTATTCAAAGCACTTAGCACAATACCTGGCACATAATATGTACTGCATACCTATCTGCTGCACTATTTTTATTATTCACTAGATAATTTCTCAATTGTAATTTCAGGTAACTTTTTATTACAGCCTATGGTGGTATAATGGAGTACAGGTTATATACTCCCAGTAACTTTGAACACACACACACATGCACACACGTATTCTTCATCATGTTTTTAAAAACTTGGCTGGTTTTGGCCAGGCGCAGTGGCTCACATCTGTAATCCCAGCACGTTGGGAGGCCGAGGTGGGCGAATCATGAGGTCAGGAGTTGGAGACCAGCCTGGCCAACATGGTGAAACAACGTCTCCACTAAAAATACAAAATATTAGCTGGGAGTAGTGGTCGGCGCCTGTAATCCCAGCTACTTGGGGGGCTGAGGCAGGAGAATCACTTGAACCCGGGAGGCAGAGGTTGTGGTGAACCAAGATCACACCATTGCACTCCAGCCTGAGCAACAAGAGCAAAACTCCATCTCAAAAAACAAAAACAAAAACAAAATTAGCCAGGTGTGGTGGTGCAAGCCTGTAATCCCAGCTACTCGGGAGGCTGAGGCAGGAGAATTGCTTGAAACCAGGAGGCGGAGGTTGCAGTGAGCCGAGATCGCGCCAGTGCACTCCGCCCCAGGCAACAGAGTGAGACCCCGTCTCAAAAAAAAAAAAAATACTTAGCTGGTTTTAAACATCAGGTTTAAAAAACTAAACTAGATATTTTGCATTTTTCTTCTGCTGGTGGTGAAAAACCAATGACTGAAGTAACTCCATACATCAGAGATCTGTGGCATGTCTAACATTATACCACATATACTGTGCGTAGCCTCAGATATTCATAAGGTTAGTGTGTTTAATTTTTGCATTGGCTTCAAAGAGAAACTACATACATGTTTAAATCCCTGTCTATCACCCATAAGTATGGAATATTATGTAAAACTATCCCTTCGTATTTTACTATAGTACCTCTTTAAAACTATGTTTTCATAATTTTCATATTTCCAGTGGAGTTGAAATTATAATTAATATGAATTTCTAAAGTTTACACTCTTGTACGGGAAAGAGTATTGCTATTTGCCAGAATGAGAGATGACCTTGCCTAAATGGGGGGAACAAAAGATTGTTTATTGGGGATGAATTTACATTTATGGCCAGTTAAATCTTTCTCTGGTGCCTCTGATTCTCCTCTCTGGTACTATGAGAAGGCAACTTTGGTTAGTCGCTCCCACTCACATCCGAGCAGAGCTGCAATAACAGCAAATGGTCCTTGGAAATCACAATCACATTAGGCTGCTGTTCAAATAGCTTTTAGGGTTGTGATAATAGGAGGCATTCCTAATAACTGGTGACTCTGTGAGACCCTGCCCAGAAGGCCTCCAAATGGCAGCACACAATTTAAATTTTAATCTGGAAGCGGTGGAAATGATGAGATTCCAGCTGGGGACCTTCTGGTCTGAGGGCCGGTGTTCAGCCTCCCGATTAGATGCCCCAAAGCTTCATTGAGTTGACGAGTGAGTGCCCCTTATCTCTCTACTCTTTTCTGCTGCATACCATCGCCCACCTGATTGCTTGGAACCTCAGAAGGTCATCTTTCTTTGCTTCCGTAGAGGCTGTCTTGGAGCTGATGGAACATTCCCAGTTTGCTGTGATCCAACTAAACACATTTGTGCTTGTGGTAGTGGAATGATACTTTTATCATTCTGACAAGTGGTAACTTTCTGAACTTTTTTCCTTCCATGCGCTGAGTGGGCTTTGGGACGTACTTACTCACTTAAAGCTTCAAATGAAAGCTGGCAGATGCATGCCATGGGCAGGAAGAAAACACTTTATTTTTTCCTACAATAAGCAATAACCCTTAGGATAATAACTCAACACAAGTTAAATAGCTAAAGGGAACATTAGTGGGACCCTGTCAGCATGGAAAGGAACAGCTGGCCATGTTAGTAATCATTGCATACCATTACTTGGGAAGTCCACTCCCAATTCTACCACCAACTTGTATTTCCTGAGTGTTTAGGCAGTAACACATGACAGATGAGGAAGTATCGAAACAGGACATCAGACACAGAACTCTAGATTTGAATGTTTGGCATTTCCAGATTCAGTTTCCAGTGAGCAGGGAGGAAAAAAAAATCTTATTAACTGGAACAAAGTTGGGAAGAATATCAAATATCTCTCTCATGTCTCTGACTCAATCATTTTTAATAGGAAACTTTTTTATTCCCAATGCATATCAGTGACTCCCAAGAATGGCGATTTGTCTCTCAAACTAGGAGTGTGAATCTAATGAAGGGATGCACATTAATACCTGGATGTTTGCAATACTCAGAGTGCAAACTCAGCTGCTTCCACTGGGCTCCATTAGGAAGCCTATTTCAGTACCCCAATACCCTCAGCAGCAGAATTAGAAAGTTGTTTTGATTTTTTTAAACCACACACAGGAGCAAATTTCTGCAAGGTGGAAATGGGAATAAAAACTAGTGTTTTGGAATTTTTTTCTTTGCAGATAGTCATCAAATGAGGTACAATATTTGCTAACAGAGGGTAATTTGAATTATCCACGGATAGTTCAAAAACACAAAGAGTTCATTACCCAGATATCTCTATTTAAAATAGATTTGCTTTTGTTCATCAGTGCAGTGCACATGGCTGGGAAATGGCAAAGTGCCAGAATGAAACTGCTCCTAATTTTCAGAGGAGGCCACCAGCTAATTACACAGACTGCAGGTGTGAAGAGAGAAGCTCAAAGTAATCAATAGCAGTAATTAATCTGCTAGACTGGAGCTAAAGAGCTAACAGCTGGACATCAGAAATGGACACATGCAACAAGATCAGCAATAATTACCTCTTTAAATATTGAATTTCCATAGCAACAATTAAGCATATAAATAAAGGCTGGAAACCAAGGCTTTGAGGCATGACATTGCATGGCAAACACAACATTCCCCAAATCAACCCTTTTAATAAAACACCAACAATATGCTTGGGCTGGGTTGACCGATTTCCAGGGTTGGAAAAAGCTGAATGTAGCTCCTCCTGCCTCTGCTTTCTTGGCTTCCAGTCATTGGCTATCCCATCCCCAAGGTACAAAGATGGCCCTAGAAGTTTGCTTTGGGCAAGATAACAATACCTTCCCTAGTACAGCTGAGCTACCAGCTGTAAGACACATTTCCTCTCAACTGGAAAACATGTTCCTTTTCTAAGAATCATGAAATCTATAAGCAAAATTCCTAATTAAGGTGCTGGAACCACTAATATTGAAAAAAGCAATTGGGCAGTATATTGAGAGTCTCTTCAAGACCAATATGACAAGCAAGAGACTCAGACATTGAGGCTTCTATAACATTTTTTGCTTTGTGAAAAGAATAAAGAAAACTTTTTATTGTATTTATTTTTTTTTTATTTTAAGTTCCAGGATCCATGTGCAGAACGTGCAGATTTGTTACATAGGTATACGTGTGCCGTGGTGGTTTGCTGCACCTATTGACTCATCCTCTAAGTTCCCTCCCCACTGCCCCCACCCCACAACACCCTCAGGCCCTGGTGTGTGATGTTCCCCTCCCTGTGTCCATGTGTTCTCATTGCTCAACTCCCACTTATGAGCGAGAACATGCAGTGTTTGGTTTTCTGTTCCTCTGTTAGTTTGCTGAGGATGATGGCTTCCAACTTCACCCATGTCCCTGCAAAGGACATGATCTCATTCCTTTTTATGTCTGTGTAGTATTCTATAGTGAATATGTACCACATTTTCTTTATCCAGTCTATCATTGATGGGCATTTGGGCATCCATGACTTTGCTATTATAAACAGTGCTGCAATAAACATACATGTGCATGTGTCTTTATAGTAGGATGATTTATATTCCTCTGAGTATATACCCAGTAATGGGATTGCTGGGTCAAATGGTATTTCTGATTCGAGATCCTTGAGGAATCCCCATACCGTCTTCCACAATGGTTGAACTAATTTACATTCCCACCAAAGTGTAAAAGCATTCCTATTTCTCCACAGCCTCACCAGCATCTATTGTTTCTTGACTTCTTAATAATCACCATGCTGACTGGCATGAGATGGTATCTCATTGTGGTTTTGATTTGAATTTCTCTAATGATCAATGATGTTGGGGATTTTTTAATGTTTGTTGTCTGCATAAATATCTTCTTTTGAGAAGTGTCTGTTCATATCCTTTGCCCACTTTTTGATGGAGTTGTTTTCTTCTTGTAAATTTAAGTTCCTTGCAAATTCTGGATATAAGACATTTGTCAAATGAGTACATTGCAAAAATGTTCTCCTGTTCTGTAGGTTGCCTGTTCACGCTGATGATAGTTTCTTTTGCTGTGAAGAAGCTCTTTATTTTAATTAGATTCCATTTGTCCATTTTGGCTTTTGTTGCAATTCCTTTTGGCATTTTCATCATGAAGTCTTTGCCCATGCCTATGTCCTGGTGGTATTGCCTAGGTTTTCTTCTAGGGTTTTTATGGTTTGGGGTTTTACATTTAAGTCTTTAATCCATCCTCAGTTAATTTTTGTATAAGGTGTAAGGAAGGGGTCTAGTTTCAGCTTTCTGCATATGGCTAGCCAGTTTTCCCAGAACCATTTATTGAATAGAAGATCCTTTCCTCATTGCTTGTTTTTGTAGGTTTGTTGAAGATCAGATGGTTGTAGATGTGTGGTGTTATTTCTGAGGTCTATGTTCTGTTCCATTCGTCTATATGTCTGTTTTGGTACCAGTATCATGCTGTTTTGGTTACTGTAGCCTTGTAGTATCGTTCGAGGTCAGATGCCTCCAGTTTTGTTATTTTTGCCTAGGATTGTCTAGGCTATACAAGGTCTTCTTTGATTCCATATGAAATTTAAAGTAGTTTTTTTCTAATTCTGTGAAAAATGTCAATGATAGTTTGATGGGAATAGCATTTAATCTATAAATTACTTAGGGCACTATGGCCATTTTCATGATATTGATTCTTCCTATCTGTGAGGATGAAATGTTTTTCCATTTGCTTGTGTCCTCTCTTATTTCCTTCAGCAGTGGTTTGTAGTTCTTTCACATCTCTTATTAGCTGTATTCTTAGACATTTTATTCTCTTTGTAGCGATTGTGAATGGGAGTTCATTCATGATTTGGCTCTCTGTTTGTCTATTGCTGGTGTAAAGGAATGCTTGTGATTTTTGCACATCGATTTTGTATCCTGAGACTTTGCTGAAGTTGCTTATCAGCTTAAGGAGTTTTGGGGCTGAGAAGATGGGGTTTTCTAAATATAAAATCATGTCACCTGCAAACAGAGACAATTTGACTTTCTCTCTTCCTATCTGAATACCCTTTATTTCTTTCTCTTGCCTGATAGACCTGGCCCAGAACTTCCAATACTATGTTGAATAGGAGTGGTAAGACAGAGCATTCTTGTCTTGTACCATTTTTCAAAGGGAATGCTTCCAGCTTTTGCCCATTCAATATGATATTGGCTGTGGGTTTGTCATAAATAGCTCTTATTATTTTGAGATATGTTCCATCAATACCTAGTTTATTGAGAGTTTTTAGCATGAAGGGATATTGAATTTTATCAAAGGCCTTTTCTGCATCTATTGAGATAGTCATGTGGCTTTTGTCTTTGGTTCTGTTTATGTGATGGATTACGTTTGTTGATTTGCATATGTTGAACCGGCCTTGCATCCCAGGGATGACGTCAACTTGATCATGATGGATAAGATTTTGATGTGCTGCTGGATTCTGTTTGCCAGTATTTTAGTGAGGATTTTCGCATCGATGTTCATCAGGGATATTGGCCTGAAGTTTTTTGTGGTTGTTGTGTCTCTGCCCCTTTTTTGTATCAGGATGATGTTGGCTTCATAAAATGAGTTATGGAGGAGTCCTTCATTTTCAATTGTTTGGAATAGTTTCAGAATGAATAATACCAGCTCCTCTTTGTACCTCTAGTGGAATTTGGCTGTGAATCCATCAGTCCCTGGGCTTTTTTTGGTTGGTAGGCTATTAATTACTGCCTCAATTTCAGAACTTGTTACTGGTCTATTCAGGGATTTGACTTCTTCCTGGTTTAGTCTTGGGAGGGTGTATGTGTCCAGGAATTTATCCATTTCTTCTAGATTTTCTAGTTTGTTATAGAGGTGTTTGTAACATTCTCCGATGGTAGTTTGTATTTCTTTCAGTCAGTGGTGATATCTCCTTTTTCATTTTTTATTGTGTCTATTTGATTCTTCTCTCTTTTCTTCTTTATTACTCTAGCTAATGGTCTATTTTGTTAAGTTTTTTCAACAAATCAGCTCCTGGTTTTTCATGTCTCTATCTCCTTCAATTCTGCTCTGATCTTTGTAATTTCTTGTCTTCTGCTACCTTTTGGATTAGTTTGCTCTTGCCTCTGTAGCTGTTTTAATTGTGATCTTAGGGTGTTGATTTGAGATCTTTCTAGCTTTCTGATGTGGGTATTTAGTGCTATAAATTTCCCTCTTAACACTGCTTTAGCTGTGTCCCAGAGATTCTGCTACATTGTGTCTTTGTTCTCATTGGTTTCAAAGAACTTGATTTCTGCCTTAATTTCATTATTTACCCAGGAGTCATTGAGGAGCAGGCTGTTCAATTTTTATGTAATTGTGTGGTTTCGAGTGAGTTTCTTAATCCTGAGTTCTGAGTTGATTGCACTGTGGTTTGAGAGACTGTTTGTTATTATTTCAGTTCTTTTACATTTGCTGAGGAGTGTTTTACTTCCAATTACATGGTCGATTTTAGAATAAGTGTCATGTGGCACTGAGAAAAATGTATATGCTGTTGATTTGGGGTGGAGAGTTCCGTAGATGTCTATTAGGCCCACTTGACCCAAAGCTGAGTTCAAGTCCTGAATATCCTTGTTAATTTTCTGTCTCACTGATCTGTCTAATATTGACAGTGGGGTGTTAAAATCTCCCACTATTATTGTGTGGGAGTCTAAGTCTCTTTGTGGGTCTCTAAGAACTTGTTTTATGAATCTGGGTACTCTTGTATTGGGTGCGTATATATTTACAATAGTTAGCTCTTCTTGTTTAATTGTTCCCTTTACTATTATGTAATGCCCTTCTTTGTCTTTTTTGATCTTTGTTGGTTGAAAGTCTGTTTTGCCAGAGACTAGGATTGCAACCCCTGCTTTTCTTTTTTTCTTGTTTTTTTGTTTTTTTTTTTTTTTTTTTTGCTTTCCATTCGCCTGGTAAATTTTCCTCCATCCCTTTATTTTGAGCCTATGTATGTCTTTGCACATGAGATGGGTTTCCTGAATATAGCGCACCAATGGGTCTTGACCCTTTATCCAATTTGCCAGTCCTTGTCTTTTAATTGGGGCATTTAGCCCATTTACATTTAAGGTTAATATTGTTATGTGTAAATTTGATCCTGTCATCATGATGTTATCTCGTTATTTTGCACACTAGTTGATGCAGTTTCTTCATAGTGTCATTGGTCTTTATATTGGTGTGTTTTTGCAGTGGCTGGTCTTTCCTTTCCATATTTAGTGCTTCTTTCAGGAGCTCTTGCAAGGCAGGCCTGGTGGTAATGAAATCCCTCAGCTTTTGCTTCTCTGGAAAGGATTTTATTTCTCCTTCATTTATGAAGCTTAGTTTGGATGGATATGAAACTCTGGGTTGAAAATTCTTTTATTTAAGAATGTTTAATATTGGCCCCCAGTCTCTTCTGGATTGTAGAGTTTCTGCTGAGAGGTCTGCTGTCAGTCTGATGGGCTTCCCTTTGTTGGTGACCTGGCCTTTCTCTCTGGCTGCTCTTCATATTTTTTTCCTTCATTTTGACCTTGGAGAATCTGATGATTATGTGTCTTGGGGTTGATCTTCTCATGAAGAATCTTAGTGGTGTTCTCTGTATTTCCTGAATTTGCATGTTGGCCTGTCTTGCTAGGTTGGGGAAGTTCTCCTGGATAATATCCTGAAGTTTGTTTTCTGGCTTGTTTCCATTCTCCCTGTCTCCTTCAAGTACTCCAATCAATTATAGGTTCAATCTTTTTACCAAATCCCATATTGCTTGAAGGCTTTGTTCATTCCTTTTCATTCTTTTTTCTCTAATCTTGTCTGCATAGCTTATTTCAGCAAGATTGTCTTCAAACTCTGATATCTTTTCTTCAGCTTGGTCGATTCAGCTATTGACACTTGGTTATGCTTCACGAAGTTCTCGTGTTTTGTTTTTCAGCTCCATCAGGTCATTTATGTTTCTCTCTAAACTGGTTATTCTAGTCAGCAGCTCCTCTAACATTCTATCAAGGTTCTTAGCTTCTTTGCACTGGGTTTAGAACATGCTCCTTTAGCCCAGTGAAGCTTTTTATTACCCATCTTCTGAAGCCTACTTCTGCCAATTCATTCATCTCATCCTCCGTCCAGTTCTGCACCCTTGGTGGAGAGGTGTTGCGATCATTTGGAGAAGAGGCACTCTGGCCTGTTGGGTTTTCAGCATGTTTTTTGTTGATTCTTTCTCATCTTCTTGAGTTTGTCTAGTTTCGATCTTTGAGGCTACTGACCCTTGGATGGGGTTTTTATGGAGATTTTTTGTTATTGTTGATGCTATTGTTGTTGCTTTCTGTTTGTTTGGGTTTTTTTTCTTTCAATGGTCAGGTCTCTCTTCTATAGGGCTGCTGCAGTTTGCCAGGGGTTCACTTCAGGCCCTATTCATCTGGTTTGCTCTCATACCTGGAGATGTCACTCAAGGAGGCTGGAAAGAAGCAAAGATGGGTACCTGCTCCTTCTCCTGGGATCTCTGACCTTGAGGGGCACCAACCTGATGCCAGTAATATCACTCCTGTATAGGGTGTCTGACAACCCCTGTTGGAGGATCTCACCCAGTTGGATGGCACAGGGAACAGGACCCATTTAACAAAGCACTTTGAATGTCCCCTGGTGGAGGAGGGTGTGCTTTGCTGGGGGAAAACCCACTCTTCTGGGCTGCCCAGATTCCTCAGAACTACCAGGAGGAAAGGCTAAGTCTGCTGGTCCGCAGAGACTGTGGCCACCCTGACCCCTAGGGGCTCAGGCCCAAGGAGATCCAGATTCTGTCCCTGAGCCTCTGACTAGAGTTGTTGGAGTTCCTGCAGGGAAGCCCCGCCCAGTGAGGAAGGATGTGTCAGGGTCAGGCTTGAAGAGGTGCTCTGGCCATAGTCTGCCGTAGCCAGTGTGTTGGGCTGTGGGGACCTCTTGGGGACCAAGCCGTCCAGGTTCCCTGGCTCCAGGAGGGGAAAAGCACGGCCTGGTGGATGGATGCTGCCCTTCCCCTGCCCAGGGAGCTTAGCGTGTTAGGCAATTATGAGTCCCAGTGCTGGCTGCTGCCCCTCCCCCAAGGAGTTCAAATGGCCTAGGCAGCAGGCAGCCACAGCTGTGGTGCCAGTTGCCCCTCCCCCAGGAGCTTGGCAGGCTTAGGCATATTCCAGCTGAGAGGCTATTAAGAATCTGTGTGGCTCCAGGGTTGGGACCCTAGGTCCTGGTGGCGTGAGTTTGCGAGTGGGATCTTCCAATCTGTGGGTTGCACAGTTCTGTGGAACAACCATGGTTTCCCTGGCTGGGTAGCATGCTCACTCACCCCCTCCCTTAGCTAGAGGGTGGGGGCTCCCCTGCCTTTTGTGGCTCTGAGGTGGGCCACCACACCTCACTGCTCTTCCTTCCTCTCCGTGGGTCACGCCAGCTGCCTAGTCAGTTCTGATGAGAGAATCTGGATACCCTGGTTGCTGGTGAAGGATTCACATGCTAACTGTGGTTCTTTTCAGTTGGAGCCTCTGATCACCACTGTTTGTAGTTGGCCATCTTGACCCCACCCAAGAAAACGTTTTTGTTATTGGATATTATTTTGAGGTGACAGGAAAGGTGAAGTTTACTGCTATTGAATGTGTACTAAGTAGCTGCCACATTGTATATTCTTCATTCATTAGAGTCTAACAATATTATTTATTTTATTTGATGAAGTGAAATAGCGAATGTAGACTAAAGACTTGCCAGGACAACACAGTCACTAGGTGAGAAATAGGATGGCCATAATTTGTACCTCATTTGAGGAATGTTTAAGAAATTTCAGCCACATGCTCAGAAGTCTTTGGGAAGGGGATCTGCTCTCTAAAACACCAAGAATTATTTGCCATGACTTGAAATGCAATTTAAGTATGCTCTTTATGTCCTATCATTGTTACCAAACAAAACTCAGTGATGGGTTAGATAGATTACTCAATCGTTGTTTGATTTTCTTTCATTTTAAGTGTATTGGTTTTGATTTCAGCTTCCAAATTCCATGGCCCTTATTCAAACAAATAAGTATCCCATAGAAAAAATTATGAACAATGATTACCAATCATTTACTCATACAGAATCAATGGCAGAGTAACTCTGGAATATGGAGTTAGCCAGGCACATTTCATCTTAATCATCATCAAAACAGAGCAGTTTCTATTGAACTCCTATTCTTTCTGCCAAGTACTGAGCAAGGCACTATTCATGCACTATCTCATTTAATTCTTATGATAATCCTATGAACTATATAGCTGACATCCAATCACACTTGAGGAGCATGAGGTTAAGCAATGAGAAACAGGAGGGGTTAAGCAATATTCCCATGGACCGTAACTCAAGCTTCCTTGAGTTAGAACATAGAGCCAATCTTCACTCTACTGCCATGCTAGATATCCTTATGTTGTCACTTTTTTAAGGCATTAGTTCCTGCACCACCAGTAGTGGCATTTTTTTGCCCATCCAAAGTATATAAAGACAATGGCAGCATTTTGCTAAAGAGCATAAGATTAAGAGCTTAGACTCTAGAATTAAACACTGGGTTTGAATTCCAGTTCTACCAGTAATGATGGTTATTCCTGCTCCCTGTAAAATGGGCATGATAGGACCTGCATGGTGTTGCTAAGAACTAAAAGAATGTGAGTATGTTAAGCAATTTTCATGGGATTGGCCAATAGGATGAGCTCCTTATCTGTGAGGTCATTGCTGTGTTTCTAATCCTTATTTCAATTGCTCTTTTTTATTTTTCCCACCTCTGATCTAGGTCAGGGCCCTTACTGCTGCAATCATGCCTTCTTTGTGTCCCCATCCCTGGCAGCTCTACCACATTGCCTACTTGGACAAAGGAAGTGCTTGCTGTCGCATAAACATGTGAATGAATGAAGCACATCAGTACCTGTGCTTAAGCACGTAAATTTGTGTAGACCACAGCTCACTCAGATGGCCTGACTACCACCATAGATATTTTCCTCAGGAAAAGGAGTTTTGAAACAACAGCCAACTCTGGGAGGACTACCTGAGAGTTGTAAAATAGTATGCCATTTTAAAATCCCTCAGGGAAACTGAAATAATATGTAGGAACACGATTAGGCCAGGTAGATAGATGTCTTAGTCTATTCAGGATGTTATAACAAAATGCTATCAAATTACTATAAACTAGATGGCTTATAAACAACAAATATTTATTTCTCACTGTTCTGGAGGCTGAGAATTTTATGACTAAGGCATCAGCAGATTTGGTATCTGATGAGGTCCCACTTTCTTGTCGGATGGTGCCTTCTTGCTAGGTCCTCACATGGTGAAAGGGAAGACCTCTGGTCTTTCCAGCCACTTATAAGGGCACTAATCCCATCCATGTGGGCTGTGCCTCCATTATCTAACCACCCCAAAAGTCCCACCTCCTAATACCAACACATTAAGCCTTAGGTTTCAACATAGGAATTTTGGGGAAACACAAACATTCAGATCACAGCACTACAGAAACTTACTTCATGTAATACATGGAAAGATATGTAAACTTCCACCCCTCTTACACTAAGCTGCTTTACAACAACTGCATATTCAGCACACACACACACACACACACACACACAAACACACCTTCTTCCATTAATTCCTTACTCCCACCATTAATTGTTCTTCTACACTTTTTTAAGGGCACCTGAGGTGTATAAGCCTCAGTGACAAAAATAGAAAAAAGAAACTACTTTAGTGTATGTTAACAAGCAATGAGATAAAGATAAAAACTTATCAATTGAGCCAATAAACTTTCTTTTTTTTTTCAGTAGACTTCATTTTTAGAGCAGTGTTTAGTTTTAAAATGAGGTTTTGCTGTGAACCTAAAAAGTATACTCCTTTAAGCATTAATCTATGCCCTAGCTAATAAGTGCATTATTTTACCAACCTGATTGGACATGCCATTTTGTGACTTCTCTGAGATGTCTGATCAGAAAATTAAGGGGGCAAAGGAAACTGTTCTGAATAAGGAAACCAGTTTTAGTTCACTTCAGTCTTGAAAGTACAAAATTTTGTTGAATTAAAGAAACTTCTATAGATAAAACGTCTATGGTTGCCTCATTTTAAATATCATTCTAGTTTTATATATAAAAGTAATGTCATCCCTTTATAAATGATAAAATCTCATTAATTTGTACTAATTCACTGATTCCAGATTTGTAATTGAGTAGGCACTTTGCTACAGTTTGATCATTAAACTATCATTGGGAAAAGATAAGTAAATTAATAGCATTTGGAAGGGGAATGGTTGTCATCAAACTCCTCCTGTCTCCACAAATGAGGACTTCTATTCCACTGCCAACAGACAGTAGTTTTAGAAAAACCCTTCAGGTCTCTCTGTGCTCACTTGTTTTTCTGTGTGGAAGAAAAGCAATTTAACTGACACAAGAATCAAGGGAGAGAGACAGAGACAGAGAGGGATGTACAGGGAATAAAAAACTTCTGAAGGCAAATAATGCACTTGGAATACCTCCTCATGAGAAGCCCTATCTGGTATTTGGTGCCAGGTAGATTTTGGAGGACTGGAGTAGAACATAGTCATATGGAATGCCATTTGATCCGAATATGACACTAAGAGTCCCTTGTTTTCCATGGAAGTTGGCAAAGATTGCATGCTGTTAAACACCAGGGATTTCCATCTCCAGAAATAATTCCCAGTCAAAAGAAAATAAAGGTGGACTTGGCTGCCATTCTAACTCCAAGAGGAAATGAACTCTTGCTGGTGATTCCATACCCTGGCTGCTCATTAGACCAGAGGTTAGTAAACTACATCCATGGGCCAAATTCATGCCTCCTTCCATTTGTTTTTCGTTTCTATTTTCTCCTTCTTAATCATGTTTTTTAGTTTATTTTTTATTGTGGTAAAATACACAAAACAAAAAATTTACCATTTAGCCTTCCTCAAGTGTACAATTCAGTGGCATCAAGCACATTCACACTGTTGTGCAAACATCACCACCATCCATCGCTAGAACTTTTTCATCCTCCCAAACTGAAACTGCACCCATTAAACAACTGCCCCTTCTCCACTCCCTCCAACTGCTAGAAACTATCATTATACTTTCTCCTGCTATGAATTTGACTATTCTAGGTGTCTAATATAAGTGGAATCATACAATAGTTGTCTGTTTGTGTCTGGCTTATTTCTCTTAGCAATTATCCTCAAGGTTCATCCATGCTGTGGTATGCGTCAGAATTTCTTTCCTTTTTAAGGTTGAATAATATTCCATTGTATGTGTATACCATATTTTGTTTATCCATTTATCTGCTGATGGTCATGTGTTGCTTGCACCTTTTGGCTATTGTGAATAGTGCTGCTATGAACATTGGTATACAAATATATGTTCAAGTTCTTGCTTTCAATCATTTGGGGGTATATATCTAGTAGTGGAATTTCTAGACCATATGGTAATTCTATGTTTAACTTTTTATGCTGTTGTTTTCAAAAGGATCTCACTCTGTCACCCAGGCTGGAGTGCAGTGGCATGAACATGGCTCACTACAGCCTCCACCTCCTGGATTCAAGTGATCCTCCCACCTCAGCCTCCTGAATAGTTGGGAACACAGGCATGTGCCACCAAGCCTGGCTAATTCTTTGTAGAGACAGGACTCACTATGTTGCCCAGGATGGTCTCAAACTCCTGAGCTCAAGTGATCCTGCCACCTCAGCCTCTCAAAGTACTGGGATTACAGTTGTAAGCCACAGAGCTTGGCCTGTTTAACTTTTTAAGGAACCTGCTTTTATAAATAAAGTTTTATTGCAAGACAGCTCTGCTCATTTGTTTATGTGTTGTCTGCGTTTGCTTTCATGCTAAGATGGCAGAGTTCAGTGGTGGTAACAAAGACCATGTAGCCCCAATGTCTTAAATACTCACTTTCTTGCCTTCTACAGAAGAAGCTCAGCTCACAAATCCCCGCATTAGAGTCCCCTGAGGCACTTTGTAAAAATACAGATACTTGGGCACCATCAGACACAGTGAATGAGACTCTCCAGAGGCAAGAGCTACAAAGCTATCATTCGTATATTCCTTCAAGAGGATTCTGGCACAGCTAATCTCTGAGCCAGCATTTGGGGACCACTGAACTAAAGGACCTCCAGAAACTGGTATAATGTATTCAGTTGCCCTAAATATAAACAATTAGAGAATTCAATTAATCTCAACATTTCATAAATACTTAATGCAAACCCGAGACTAAAAGCATATACACTGGAAATATGACAGAAGCTAAGCTTGATAGTAAAATTGGTATCTGAAAGATGAAGATGAACAGCTTGGGGATTGAAGGGAGCCTCTCTTTGGACAGATTTATGATAACGTGACATGGAGGAGGTATTTTAGCAGCGTCTCTCATATTGATCCATGCAATCAGTGAGCAGAATTTCTCCATCTCAGTAGTCTGTCATATCTCTTTAACTCAGCATCTCTCAGCCTCTGACCTATTGACGGCTTCTCTATTTTTCAGTCTGCACTGTTTTGTTTTGCTCTGCACTTTCTAAGTCTGCTCATCGATTTCACTCTCCTTCTATGGTTGTGGGGATTTTGTGTCTCTGTCCACCTTCACATTGGTGTGTGTTCAGTTTTGAGACCACAATGGTGAAGTCCTATTTGCGGTTTTCTCCCCTTTCAGATGTTCCTTATTAATTCTTTGTATGACCCCCATAGAATATAGCTGTGTATTATTCAGACTTAAAAGAAATGAGCTATTAAGACATGAAAAGATGAGGAGGAACCTTAAATGCATATTGCTAAGTGAAAGAAGACAGTCTGAAAAGGCTACATACTGGTATGATCTGAATTGTGAGACATTCTGGACAAAGATAAACTATGAAGACAGTAAAAAGTTCAGTAGTTGCCAGAGGCTTGGTGTTGGGAGTAGGGAATGAATAGGTGGAATGCAGAATAATTTTAGGGCAACAAAACTGTTCTGTATTATACTGTAATGGTAGATACCTGACTTTATGCATTTGTCCAAACCTGAATTATGTTCAATACTAAGAGTGAAACCTAATGTAAACTGTATACTCAGTTGATATTAATGTGTCAATATTGGTTCATCAATTATAACAAATATACCACAGGAATGCAAAATGTTAATAATACTGGAAACTAGAGGGTGGAAGCAGAGGGGATATATGGAAACTCTCTATACTTCCTGCACAATTTTTTTCTAAACCTGAAACTGCTCAAAAAATAGAGCACATTCAAAATAAAATAAATAAATCTTTTTTAAAAGGAAAACATTTGTGGTCTTGTGAGCCAAATCACATTCAAGCCAAATATGATAGCAATAACACAGACCATATCACACTGAAACAATCATTTAATGAAAATCTTCTTGGATTATAAAAGAAAAGATTCTAGCTTAACCTAATCAAAGGCACCCTTACTTCAGACAATACTCATTATGAATTAATAGTACAACCTAAGAATTTGGATTTTCCTTAGAGATCATTAATGAATAGGCAGGAGCTATAATTGATTAGAGCTAAGATCTTGGCACTATATGTAACCAAACCAGTAACAACAACAAGAAAAATGAAAATTGAACATGTTTCATTTAGTGAAGTCAATAAATATCAACATGACCCCCATTAGGCATGAGGAGACAGAGGTGAACAAAACATATTCCAGTAATTCTCAGCCTTTTTGAGTTTTGATGAGCACTCTTGAATATTTGAATGTTGATGACACACTTAAGAAGTTGAGTTTATCCACTATACACTTAGTTGTCTTTCAGAATTAGGTAGGTATTTGAGTAGCGAGCTAGGAGCATCCCTGATCGAGATCTCTTTTAGGGCTGGGCACAGTGGCTCACGCCTGTAATCCCAGCACTTTGGGAGGCCAAGGCAGGTGGATCATGACGTCAGGAGATCGAGACCATCCTGGCCAACATGGTGAAACCCCATCTCTACTAAAATACAAAAAAAGTAGCCAGGTATGGTGGTGTGCACCTGTAGTACCAGCTACTCGGGAGACTGAGGCAGGGGAATCACTTGAACCTGGGAGGCAGAGGTTGCATTGAGCCGAGATCACACCATGGCTGTACCCCATCCTGGGCGACAGAGCACCACTCCGTCTCAAACAACAACAACAACAACAACAACAACAACAACAACAACAACAACATCTCCTTTAGTATCCTGCAGAAAGTTCTTCCATTTTCCCAGAAAGTGAGCCACCTTTCTTGATTTGGATTTGGTGTTACACTCTGCCTATTACCTATCACACAGAGTTCCTCTCACTCTACACTGATTGTATCAGCTCAGCTCTCACCCATCAGACAGCACCAGTGTGGATACCGATGGCAGCGAATCTTTTATACATTGGTAAAAGTTATTGGCATAGTCATAAAGGGTTTGAGAATTTAACAGAAAAAGAAAGTCAATATTTAACATTTTATTTTTCCTTCATGACTTAGGCTCACTTTCTTGAACTTCGGTTATTATTCTGAAACCTTCAAATGCTTCTGCGATACTGAAGACTGTTTCCAATGGCCCTGATTTCTTGCACTTTAAAAAATTTTCTCATTCACTCCTCGGTGAGCTGCTATCTGTCTTTCTTTTCAGGCACAGTGATGTAGTGGAAAGAACACGTGCTTTAAGGTCAACAGACCTGATCCCACACCTAGCTCATCACTAATTAGCTGCATAATCTTCAGGAACTTCATTAAATTCTCCAAGCCTCAGTTACCTCTTCTATAAAATATGAGTATTAATACTTCCTTTGAGACTTTTTTAAGAATAAAAGATTAGATTTAAGCTATAAAATACAGGGTTATGCATAAACCTTCAATAAAAAGCAGCTATTACCTTTTTTTATTATTATTCTTACTCAAATTACTACATCAGTCTCCTCTCTAATCTTCCTCCCTCATATCCTGCTGCCTTGTAGAGTTGACCCTATTTTTTTTTTTTAAGATGGAGTATCACTCTGTCGCCTAGGCTGCAGTGGAGTGGCGCGATCTCTGCTCACTGCAAGCTCCACCTCCCAGGTTCACGCCATTCTCCTGCCTCAGCCTCCCGAATAGCTGGGACTACAGGCGCCCGCCACCACACCCGGCTAATTTTTTTGTATTTTTAGTAGAGACGGGGTTTCACTGTGTTAGCCAGGATGATCTCCATCTCCTGACCTCGTGATCCACCTGCCTCAGCCTCCCAAAGTGCTGGGATTACAGGCTTGAGCCACCGCACCTGGCCTGGAGTTGACCCTATTTCAAACTATCATCAATATTGCTGTAAGTAGGGCTTTTCTATAATATGATCCTGCTTCATTTCTTCCCCTGCCAAAAGTCATTCAATGGTTTACTAACACTTTATCCCAGACATATCCTCACTTGCATTTCCCTGAGCAGAACTGTATTCGCTTCCTATTGCTGTTATAACAATTTACTATGAACTTAATGGTTTTAAAATGACACAACTATATTATCCCAAAGTTATGGAGGTCAGAAGTCTATAACCAAGGTGTTAGCAGGGCTATGTTTCTTCTGCAGGCTCTTGAGGAGAATCCATTACCTTGCCTTCTCCAGCTTCTAAAGGCCAACTGTATTCCTTGGCTCCTGGCCCCCTCCCTTGTCTTCTAAGACAGCAGCATAGCATTTTACTTCTCTCTCTGACTTTGACCTTCCCCTGTCTCTCTCCTCCACTTTAAAGGGTCTTTGGTGACTATATTGGGTCCCTCTGAATAATCCAGGATAATCTCTCTATTTTAAGGTTAACTGACCAGGAAACTCAATCTCCTCTGTCATGTAACATAACATATCCACAGGTTCCAGGGATTAGGACGTGGACATCTTGCAGGAGACAGGGGAGGGGCCTACATCAGGGACCATGTTCTTACTTGCCTTTGTGTCTGTATCATCCTATTCCCTTAGCCTGTAGTTCTTGTCCACACTTCTCCATCAATCTCCTTTCTTTCAGACTCAAATAAAGTGTCAACTAATTCAATAAGCTTTTGCACACCCTAGGCCTATGTCCCTCTCCTTTGCGTTTATCCAACACCCTTTATTTTATGCAAAAAATTTTCTACTATTGAAGTTCTAATTATTAACTTATCTGTATCGGTCAACAGATTAAAAATTCTACCTCAGGCTGGGTGCAGTGGCTCACACCTGTAATCCCAACACTTTAGGAGGCCAAGGTGGGCAGATCACTCAAGCCCAGCAGTTTGAGACCAGCCTGAGCAACAGGGTGAAACACCATCTCTAAAAAATTAAAAATTAGCCAGGTGTGGTGGTGCGTACCTGTCTGAGATGGAAGGATCAACCTGAGCCTGGGGAGGTCGAGATTGCAGTGAGCCATGATCACACCACTGCACTCCAGCCCGGACAATAGAGCAAGACTCTGTCTCAAAAAAAAAAAAAAAAAAAAATCTACATGGTTAGGGTCTGGGTCATTGTTCTGATTACCAGCCCTTAGCAGAATGTATAAATTAAGTGTTCAGTAAGCATGTAATGGAAGAGAAAATGCGCCTTTGGGAGTAAAAAAACAAAAGTTTATAGTTGTTACTGTTGCTTTGTTCTTGTGATTTTGTTGCTTTGTTTATGTGCTTTTGCTTATTTCCTGATTTTTACCTGAGTTACCTTTCAGTTCAAATCATTAAATGTGTGACCACAGGGAAAGTGTTAATATAACTATAAAGTCTCTGTAGTTCTCAATACTACATCACCTTGGAAATCACCTAGGGAGCTTTAAAAAATTGTGATGGCTTCAAATCCCCCCTGAAATTCTAATGTAATTCTGTAACCTGGGCATTGAGATGTTTAAAGCTCTGCAGAGATTCCAGTATGCAGCTAAGACTGAGAATCACTGGTTTATATGTAGTGCTCAAAGACTTCCTATGGCAATTCCCAGAGCAATGATATCTCATATTAACAAGATTTGAATATCTCACTAGTATTTGTTATTGATAAAATGTACTGTGGCTACTGGCAAATGGTTATATTCATTGATATACTATTTGAAAATAAAACACTCTGAGTTTGAGTGTATATTCTCTATTCTGATAAATTCTGTGCATTCTCTTGAAGAAAAGGAAAGGGAATTTTTACATATTCTTATTAAGTGACTGTGCTATGAAGGAGAAATTTTCTCAGCCTCTGAGGAGTTAGTTCTCCTTGCTGCTGCATGACTGGCTCATTAGACTTTAGTGCCTGGGCCCCAGCTTCCTATCTCTGGGAGGTTGTTGTGGATCACTAAAAAGAAAGGTTCCTGCCCATGGAAGCTCTTTGATGCTGTATGAGGGCAGTGCCTTGCTCATAAGGCCTCAAAAGCCCAGACTTTTGCCAAACCATCTGTTTTTACCAATGTATCTGTGTCATCAAACTAAAAGCATCAATAATGAGAAAAAATATTAAATAAAGTTCCAAATGGTTGATGCACTATATTTTGCTGAAGGGAAATTGCCACATGCAATCAATGTAACACTCATCAATGGACATTTAATAATATCTTCTTTCCCTCCTAATCCCAAATGTTTGTGTATCAGACTATAAGCATAGAGAAGAAAACATGTTTTTCCTAGTTCACAACTGTTTTGTATCCTTAAAGGACTAAAACAGATTTAAAAGGGTGGTTTATAATGTTTGCAAAGAAGCTATTATTTTCTTATTGGCTTCTTATACTGAAAAGAAAGTAACTCTAAAATATTGAAGAAATTTAGATTCCCAGTGTATTTTTCTGATCATAAACAGCTATATAACAAATTGCATAATATAGACTACCTACTTTCTTGTATTAGTTATCTACTGCTGGGTAACAAATTACCACAAACATAGAGGTTTAAAGCAATGCATACTTATTATTATATCTCATGGTTTCTGTAGAACAGGAGTTTAGGCACAACTTAGCAGGTCCTCTGTTCTGGGCCTTACAGGGCTGTAAAGTCTTAGCTATTCAAGATGTTAGCTGGGGCTGAGGTTTCCTCTGGAGACTCAGCTGGAGAAAAATCCACTTCCAAGTTCACTCAGATTGTTGGCAGAATTTTTTTCCTTAGCATAGGACTGAGGGTCCTGGCTTCTTGCTGGTGGTCAGCTGGAGGTTACCCTCAGCAAGTAGAGGCTATCCCAGTTACTTGCCACATGTACCTCCCAACATGGTTGCTTACTTTTTCAAATCCAGCTAGGGGAGAGAGTCTCTAGAGAAAGACTATTAGTAAGACTGAATCTTTTATAACATAATCGCAGGAGTGACATCCATTACCTTTGTTTTATTCTATTGGTCAGAAGCAAGTCACAGCTTCCACCCACACTCAAGAAGAGGAAATATATAAGGATGTGCATATCAGCAGAGAGGGGCATCCTAAAGTCTATCTGCCAACTTCCTTTTCCCATAGCATGACTCGTGGTAGTAGGAGGTGGAGATTGTGCTAACCAATTCCACCTAACCAAGAAAATTGATTCTGAGTAGAGCTTCTTGGGCCATGCTTCCTGAGATTGGGACTATTTCTTCAACTATTATGGGAACTAAGGAAATCCAACGAAAGGACATAGTTAGAGTTCTGTTTCATTTCACTAAGAAAAGTAAGTACATAAATTAGAAAGTATCTGAATACGCTTAAGTAAATTATTGTTACATAGTTCCAGTCTAAGCAGGATATTTTGTTTGTTTGTTTGTTTTATAAGAGTTCAGTAAAAGTATTTGCATAGGATTCAAGATGGCTAATTAACTCAATAGACCACCTGGTAGGATGAAAGCCTTGACATAAGGTAGAGTTCATATTCTAGCTGAGTGACTTAAATGAGTCAGGTGCTAAGTAAATACATGTTGAATTCAAATGAGCAAAGACTCTGCATTAGGGTCTCATGGGGGACAAATGACTAGCCCAGAGTCACACTGCTAGTAGCTTAAGATTTCATCTTCATATGTTATATGGCAGGAAGCTTGTCATTCTGTCATAGTCAGCTGTTTCCCTCCTCAGTTCCTTTTATGACTCTTTGTGTGTGTATAATCTGAAAACCCAAAATCCATAAGTTCCAAAATCCAAAACTTTCTGAGCACTGGCAAGAGGCTTAAAAGAAATGCTCATTGGAGCATTTTAGATTTCAGATTTTTGGATTTGGGATGCTGAACTGGTATAATGCAGATATTCCAAAATAAAAAAAAAATCTGAAACCCAAACACCTCGGGTCCCAAGCATTTTGGATAAGGGATACTCAACCTGTATGTGTGTGTGTGTGTGTGTGTGTGTGTGTGTGTGTGTGTATGTGTGTGTGTGTATCCCATTTGAACTTCAAAATAAACTTTCGGACTTAAAGTGCTATTCTCCCCACTATCCCAAGCTAACTTTCCATTTCTAGTGAGGCTTCAACAGTGATTCTAAGCAAGGAAGAAGTACAACAAGCTACATAAAAATTGCTTCTCCAAACATTCATAGGAAGCTCTGTTACATAATCATTCCCCTCTTTTAGTTTCCCACTACCATAGTGAAAAGGGTCATTTGACATGCACCAGCCCATGGATAATACAATCACTTATTAGACACCAGGAACCATCTTGCAAAGAACTTGACCCAATGCAAGGGCCCAACACAGACAGCTGAGAAATTACACTGACTGGTTGCATAGGCAGAAAGAGGAGGTGAGAAGGAAACATATTTGCCAGCCCTTCCATTAGCCAGATGTCTATGGACATTAAGTTATGATTCATTATTCTTCATAACAGTCTTGAAAAGTAGATGGATTTCCTCCCTTTACCAGTAAGGAAACTGAAACCCAGAGAGTTAGGAAATCTTCTAAGTATTACACTGTGAAAGTGGATTCCAACTCAAGTCTATGTAATACCAAGGTCTATGTACATTCTACCATGCTAGGTTGCCTTTGCACTAAGAGAGAAGTACAAAGCTCTGGCTTCTTTTTCTAATCCACTATTAATAGTGCAACACTTGCCTGCCATGGAACTGGCATTTTCCTTATATTGTAGGTTTTCATGATTCTTACTCATCACAGCTAGTTAAAAGGGGCATAGTAGTTGACTTAAGAACAAACAAACTTTTTTCCCCACTTCCTTAAATCATAAAAATCCTTGAGAATATAATTGCCTATACTTTGCTTTCTAGAAATTCAAAGCATCTCCTATAATAAATATTAAATGCAACATATTCCACAACTACAATATGCAAAAATGTGACTTTTTATACTCTTGGACTTGATTTTTTCAGTCAATTTATCCTACCACATACAGCACATGCAAGATCTTGTAGAGGCCTATTGGGCAGGGTAATTTTTAAAAAGAGTATTTTAAATTAAACAGTATACACAGTTCCCAACCTTGAGGCACTTGAAATCTAATTATAGAGTTGAGCAAATTGGAAGTAAAAATACACAGATATACAAATATCTCAAAAGAAAGTGTACCCATTGAAAATGTTTTGGAAGTAGCAAGGCTTTCTGGGAAGGCTTTAAAGAGAAAATGGGTTTTGATTGGAATTTTGAAGAATAGAAAGAATATTCTGTTCTTTCTATTGAGAAAGAATAGTTCTCAATATTTTTGAGAAAGAATGGTTGAGAGAAGAGAATAGCTAAGTATGAAGATAATTGGGCCAAGCGCCCAGCGGGTTTACAGGAAATGATACAGGTCTGATGGCTGAACAAAAGAGATTTTTAATGAAGAGATTACTTGCAGAGTTATGGATAGGATGAAGGGAACCAGAGAGAAGTAATTTCCATACTTAGACTGAATGAGTAAATGGAAGAAGCTGTCATGGGGCTCCATTGAAAGCTGGATCCTTGCCAGGAGCCATGGACACAGAAGATATAACTGCTGCCAGAACCATGCCCTCAAAGTAGAGAGCCAAGACCTCTCTCTCCTCTGCCCTTCAATTTACCAGTGTCTCCCACTGGTCAACCCCAGTGAGAAGCCAGTCCAGGCAGAGGAGCCTCCTGAGGAAACAAGTTGGGAGAGGATGGCAGAGAATTGGTCTGGGAAAATGGAGAAAAACCCACACAGGGGACAGGTTTATCCTTTCTTCTTTAGGTGCTGAAGAAGGTTGGAAGTTTTAAAAGAAAAAGGGAACATCAAAAAGGAACACAACTTCCCCCAACCAGACAAATTACAGGAGAGTCTAAGTAAGGGCTGAATCATGCCGGGTAAATAATATCAAAGCAACATTATTTCGGACTCCAACTAGTGACAATTAACACTCATTTTCAAGTCAAGGCAGATTCCCTTTAAAAGGTGCTGCTTGCCTCTTTCTTTCAAGTTCCTAATAGATCACTATCAAGACAACTAGGCCATTATCTTCTTATTCACATCTCTTGGGTGTGAACAGGTGAGGAAGACTCTCTCCCTGGCCAAACTTTAGACAGGCTCCTTGGAGCTTTCTGCTCAACCAGGCCTCAACTTTGTCTCGTTGAGCTCACTTTTAGCAAAGACTCCTTGTTAAAGTCAGTTTACTAAGTTCCGCCACTTTTGATATGTGATCAAGTTCCTCTTGTCATTTTTCATCCACTGACCCCTTCACTTTGCTTGCCGGCTATAAGTACCCAGCTGTCTTTGCTGTATTTAGAATTGAGCTCAGCTAAGTCCTGACATCTTTCTCCCCTGCTGCAATAGCTTGAATAAAATCTGTCTTGCCATGTTTAACAAATGTCCAGTGGGAATTTTTTTTTACACAGATTCTTAGACAAGTTCAGATAAGAGTCACCAGAAAGAACTGCTCCCTACTCTTGGAGTCACAAGAGATGCGTCCCTACCCCTTCCCAGCCAAGGCACAGACCCATGGCCGAGGCTCAACCTGTAACGCTCTCACTGGTAGATGAACCCCTGAAGGGCTAACTCAAGTTCACAGTCAGCAAAATCATAGATGGATTTTACTGTGAAGATAAAGGAGTTCAGCCACAGTGATAGGGTATGTTCAGTAGCCATGATGCCTCAAAACTGATCCATGGCTTGCCTCTGTGCCCTGGTCTCCAGCCCAGTTCTCCAGCTTTCTTGTTGATTCCATAAGCTGATTCCATCATCCCAATACATTCTATTTCTAGTTAAAATGGCAAACATCAGTTTCCATTCTTTGATTACCCAGAGGCCTAATTTTATTTTTGTTAACATTAAATAATTTGTCATAAATATATAGAAGAAAGGTGTATTCATTTCCTAGGGCTGCTGTCCTAGGAGTAGTATAAACTGGATCACTTAAAACAAAAGAAATTTATTCCCTCACAACTCTGGATGCTAAAATTATAAAACTAAGGTGCTGGCCAGGTTGGTTCCTTCTGGAGACTCTAAAGAAGAATCTGCTTCATGCCTCTCTCCCTAGGAGAAAGGAGAAACAATTTCTGGTGGTTTTCTGGCAATTCTTGGCATTCTTTGGCTTGTAGGTACATCATTCTAATCTCTTCTTCTGTTTTCACAGTGTTCCCCCTGTGTATCTGTCTGTGTCCAAACGTGCTTCTCTTACAAGGACACCAATCATTGGACTAGGACTCACCCCAATCCAGTATGACCATTTTAACTTGCTCGCATCTGCAAAGATCCTATTTCCACATTTACAGGTACTTAAGATTTGAATATACCTTTTGAGGAGACATGATTCAGCTCACAACAGAGAAAAAATACTTATCATGGACTCCCCAAACCTAAAGCCAAAGTATATCCGAGTCAGGGGTGGAAGGTCAGCACAGGAAGACATTAGAGATATAGGGTGATACAGAGGTCATGCAAAAGAGTGATGAGTCAGCACAGGGAATTGTGAGTGGGCACAAACCATGCTTTGTGAGGCAGAATTTTTAATTGTAGGCAAATTTAGGCTGCTAAAGGAGGCATTTAAATTCCTAAGAGGAGGATAGGGAACTACAGCTAATTGAAGAAGGGAACAGAGATAGAGGAAGGGAGTTATATTAAGGTTTTTTTAAAAAGTTAAAATTAGACTGATAATTTAAAGGAAATAGTGGCCAAAGTATCATAAAAATTAAATATAAACATTCCAAAGCAAAAATATATATATATATTTGCTATGCCAAGCAGCTCACATAGAAAATCAAAACTGTATAGCTTAGTAAAAATGTGAATGTAGTTTTAATGAGTCACTGAATAAATACATTCTCATGAATTACTCTCATTTTTGAGCATATCATTTGCTAGAAAATCAATCTCAAGATAATTGTACACAAACAGAAGGGGCCAAGGAAAATCCCCAGGCACTAACTTTCTAAAATTGTAGAAACTATAAATGAGCAAAACTTTGTTCTTGGGATTACTTATACTTGAAATGACTGCTTTATTCAGTCTTTGGTCTCCCTTCATTGCCTTTTGATGTCTCCACAAATCAGTGACAGCTACAACATTTCTGCTGAGGCAGCACTTTTCCCCTGAGTAATCTCATAATATCTGAGAGAATGCTTGAAACTTTGTACACTGCTTGGGATGCAAAAGAGGACCTTATTTTCAAGTGCCTTAAACCAAGGCAATAATTAAATAAATCATGTGGCACAGAATAGAATGAGAAATAAAATATTCCAAAGGGTTAAAGTAAAAAGTTAGTGCCAGAAAGTATTGCCATTTATCTTTAGACTCCTGGGAACGAAGATTTGACTATTTTTTTTTTTAGTCCTTGACATTGTACTTTCCACATTAAGTAAAGCAGCATTAACAACAAACATTGTCAATAGAGTGATAGAATGAAAGGCAAAAGAGGCAATGGACAATCGCTCCATTCATGGTAACAATAGAAAGGAGACGCTTGTCAAATAAATTTGGAATCTGTACTTACTCTATTCCATTTAATTATTTTCCTTATTATCTTTCTCCCTCTTTCCTTCCTATTCCTCCGATCAAAATATTACTCAAATTTTATACAGGCTTTATAACTGGTCCCTGTGAGAGAACAGATCTAAGAGTTCCAAAGTAGACTGAGGCATAAAACCCCACTGAATGGAAGGCAAACTCTTGAAAAAGACTCCAGAAGAGTGGGAGTAGGTTTGAAATTTGGTTCTTGGCTAACTGGCTCTCTATCTTTGTGTGGCAGTTAAATGCACTCCTACCTGTATGAGCTGCCATATTCCAGAACATGACCCTCAACTTTACCAATGGCAGGAGATTCTACAGAAACATGGCAGAAAAGCAACATGTAGATGTGAAAATGAAGTCTTTTAATATAAGAAAGATGTTCATGGTCGATATATGAGAGGAGAGGGTTCTTACTGAGAAACGACCTCCCTACTCCAGATAATCTTAGCAAATGATGAGAGAATCAATGATGGGATGGAGTTCATGACCAAAGGAGCAGGGGACTTCAGTGGAAATCTATCAGAGAAGGCTCAAAGATCTACATCCAGTCTTTTCAAAAGAACCCTTTTTCTAGGTGGATCTCAGCATTCTTTATTCACCTTGAAGGTGTGGCACCCTGCAGCCACTGCTCCACTTCCTCATTCAGTCTGCTCCTCAGCAGTTTACAATCTGTTTTCCATCTCCATCATCACACTGAAGTGACCATGACCTTTGGAATACCAGATTCAATAGTCTTGCCTCTGTGGTCCTCCTCATCAGCCACCCTGTTTCACCTTGTCCTTCTTGAAATTCTCTTCTCACATCTCACTGAAGTTACAACATCCTCATGGTCCCCTGTGTCTCTGATGACTCCTCTCTGTTCTTCCATTTCTGCTTCTTGCCCTACGTGAATTAATCTCCCTCCAAAGTCATTACATCTTGCTTTATTCTCACTCTACTTTTTGTTCCAGAGCAATGTCGTTCACTCCTATGGCTTCAACCATTATCATTATGTGTTTGACCTTCCAAGCGTCCCTCTAGGCTCAAGTTCTCAAAGTAGCTCAAACCTGAACTTCCAACTGACTCCTAAACATCGTTCCTAAATGTTCCAGAAGCACCTCAAAAAGCATAAGTTTTCAACTGAATTTACCTTCCCACCACAATCTGCAACTCCTTTGGATTTCTGTTAAAGTACCGCCATCTAGCCCTTTCTTCTCATTTCCCCTCCCCCAGCATCCAACCAGTTGGGTCTGCAAATCCCCTTGCCACAGTTTCCCTGGTATCTTTCCCACTGACATCTTCCTAGCTTCACCACCACTTGCCTGAGGAGTTGCCATAATTTCCAAATGACCTCCCAGCTTCCAAAGTATCTGTTTTAATCCACCCCCGTATCACTAACAGTACTTACGTACTCACAAACTTTCACTGTCTCTTCCTTTCCTCCAAGTCAAATAAAAATGCCTCAACCCAGCCTTCAGAATCACCACAGTGCTATCCCAGTTTACCTTTCTAGAATCACTTCTCATGATTGCTTCGCCACCCCGGACCCTGTACTCCAACAACTTGCAGGACTCTTGACTACTTTGCCTCATTATGTGTCCCCCTTGTCCCCAGTCTCTGTGTCCTATCTGCCTATCAGAGCCCATGCCATCCTTAGAGGTCAATACCAAAGGTCATTTTCTTCGTGAAGCCTGTCCTTATCTCACCCCACTTAGATCTGAAGTATTTCTCTTTGACTATTTCTATTGCCGTTTGAACCATCTCCAGGCTATGTCAGGAGTTTGCTCACTATTTGCATGTCCTTTTCTTTTCTTTTGATCTATTAGATTCAAGCAATCAGGCAGGTACAGGCCATGTCTTATTTATCTTTGCATCTCCAGAATTGGGGCCAATGAACGTTTTTCTAATTGAATTAAGTCTGCTTTTCTCTCAGAGAAATGAAGAATAGAGGCTTTTGTGGATGCCACCTTTAAATGGTATTCAGATTCAAAATCGGTCTCATTTCTATGTATAGAAATATAATCACCCCTCTATCTTGTAAGATAAATTATTTTTCCACTGATTACAAAATTGAAACTAGTTATCACTTTCAAGTACCTTGAAATGGGCTGGAAGAAGATAGAAAGCAATGGGGTAGCATTTTATAAGACCTGTCCTACATACATTATTGCCCTAGTAGAAAATCGTGGTGACACAGTTTCTTTTTAAATTAAAAAATGGCCTATTTTTTGTCTTTTGAAACAAGACACACATGCACTTCACTTATAAGTTTTTCAAGCCCCTAAAATTAACACTCAGAGTAGCACAGCATTTTCCCCATCCTGACAGGAGTTCAGGCTCACATCAACAGAAAAACTATTGTGTTCTTTTACCTGGATATTTGAATAGTCCCAAGCAAAAGCGTCTATCACACTGGTGCTTTATTCCTCCTCCCAAAAGATTAGCTGTGAAGAAGATGCTTCAGAATGTCAATCAAGACATTCTAAGATACAGTATTAAAATGGACAAATTTTTGCAATAACATGAATAATCCTTGCAGGAAAGAGGAACCAGGGAGCCTGGGGAGATGAGTGAACCTCTTCTTCTGAACCTAATTGCTGAGCCTCAATCTCATTTTCTACCACACTTTATTTAACTTTATACTTATATCACATAAATTAACTCAGCAGCTATGCAGAATAATTTTGCTTCATTTGGATCTAAATTAATGAGCATGATCACAAAGCCATGTGTACAATTTCAATGAAGATACACTATAATTATTCCATTGTGCGGGTTAGCATTTCAGCCGTATATTAATGTATTTCAAATGCGTGATATATGATGCTTTTGTGGTCTTCTGCCATAACACCCTACTGAAAAATGTCCTCCAGTTTCAAAATGCTGAAATAAATTATTAAACACAGAGGAGGAAAAAAGAGAAAAAATCAGGAATAGAAAAGAAATGACAAAGGGAGAAGTATGCTCCCAGGAACTCAATTCCTCATATAAATTTTATTTTCAAATTGCTTTATTAAGTAATGCATGAAGTAATGCAACAGTAGATCATTTTTCTCAGCATTTAAGTGAGGGGTTTTGCAGATAGGGAACTTTGGGCATCTGAGCATATGTAAGAAATTGGGAAGAGAAATCACAAAAGAACACAGGCACTTAGGTCTGTAGTCAATCGTGGGTTTTGCTAGTGAGTATCAGCTTGAGACTATGAATTATTTCTGCTCAAGCCATGCAGTTCATGGAGCCCTGCTCAGAGAACACTACACTCTTAGGGCAGGCAATTATATGTCTTTAGGATTAATCCCAAACAAGACAATGATTTAGAAATAGACGCATTCTCTTTTGAAGAGCTTTTAGTCATAAAAGTAATTTTTTTCTTCCCTACACTTAAGGCCTTCTAACCCCCTCTTCTCCCCTCCTCTATTAAAGGTATAAAGCAGTGCTTCCACCTGCTAGCACTCACAGACCAATAACTTTAATTTTTGGCACTTATTTACAGGCTGAATAGATTCATCCACACCTGCTTTCCCTTAATTAGCTGGTTATCTAAAGGCTGCAGATTGGAGGCTTCCAGCTTCCCCAACTAAGAGGGAGATCGTTCTGTTTCTGATGTAAGAGAACTGGGGGTGAGGGGAGGAGAAAAAAAATCCTTTTAGAGAAACTAGAGAGGATAACAGCACAAAAGGAAAAATCACTCATCAAGATTAAGAGAGAAAAAAAAATTTTAAGGAACTTGAAGCCAGAAAAATGAACAGCAGCCCTAACTGGCAGTGATACGGTCACTTCTACTTAAGAGCAGCTGAAATCATCCATGGCACCCAACTTTATTCCGAATTGATTACCTGCAATGTCACCCTACATCACTAGCAGAGGTGAGGAACGTGATCCCCAAGAGTCGAAAGAGGACTGGGTAGCGGTCAGAAGACTCTGGGGTTCTGGACTTCACTCTGTCGCTGACCCACTACTGAAATTTGTATAAGTGACATTAATAAGGAGCCTCAGTGTCCTCGCCCATCACATGTAATAATGGACAAGACAGTCTCTAAATTTATGTTTAGCTTGAATATCCTATTGTCATTTCAGCTCCTTTCTGCAACAAGAACCACCACTGAAACCGCCCAAGAGGAAGAGGAAGAAACAATGAAAAGAGCAGCATGTTATAAAAAATATTCCCTTTCCACGTGACTGTGATGTTTGGGAAGTTTCAAACCACAGTAGGTGAATTTTAGAATTTAAAGAAAACTTACATGGTCATTCACTTCAACTTTCTCATGTTGCAAATAAGAAAACCAAGGCCTAAGATGGCTAACTGATTTGTCCCAATGTCACAGAGCACAGTTAAGGCTAGAAATCAAGTTCAATCACCTCTCCGGACAAACAGCTGGTGGTTTTGCAGTGAAACAATCTGACTGTTCACATTTTTTCTTCTGTTTACAACAGAATGAAAATATGCTGATTAGAAAATGAGGGCATGCTGCATGCTAAGATTTAGGTGCAGGTTTCTCTTTCTTTCATAGAGTTTACAAGCTCTTTATAGATGTTAAGAGTTCTCAGTGTGAGTTTGGAATAAATAATAATGTACTCTCCAAAGGCCCTGCAAGATTAGTACTAGACCAGCATATCTGTGTGTTTCGGATATATTGCAAGCATGCTACTGGACCATAGCACTTCTCTGCTTAAATCACATCAGCAGCTTCTACTAGTTCTCAAGATAGATATCAAACTCCTCACCGCATCCTCGAAAGCCTTCGTGATCTGGCTGCTGCGCACTTCTCCAGCTTTATCTGATGCTCACCCCCCGCAAATTGTATCTTTCAGCCACAGTGAACTTACTTAGTTTCAAAAGCACAGCACAGCCTGTTCTGTCTCAGTTCTCCACTTCCCTTCTCATTTTGCCTGCACTAATCCCTTATTCATCCCTCAAGTTCCAGATTTTTACATCATTCCTTCCAGAAAGCTTTACATCTGACCCTCCTAAGACCAAGTTAGTTGACTACTTATTTCCACCTATTCATTACATCACAAGATTGTATTTGCATTTCATTCATCGGTCTCTCCCACTACACAGTGAGCTTGCTAAACGAAAGCATGTTCTTCTTTACCATGAAATGCCCCATAGTGTTTAGCACTGCAATAGGTGCTGCTCCAAAAACATTTGTCAAATAAATTAACACCAAGAGAGCTGAAATTATGATTACATTACTGTGAACCCTTTTATTTCTGAGTATTTTAAAGAATTGACTAGGTGTCTTTATAAATTTGCCAAAGTGCTGAAGCCTTTTCTTTTATGTTCATAGGCCCATCGACTTCCCCCGGATCATTTGAGCATCCTCAAATTCATGAGTTTACTAACTGAGATACAAATGCAGGGCTATTAGCTAGGATTGCTCCTGAAAATTTGCTACTGCTCTGCAGTCTTGTAGAATTGTCAGTTCAAATTCTGCCCAGGAGTCTCTAGAAGAGAGCGATTAGGAGCTGAATTCTAGAGTCAGACTACCTGAATTGAGTCTGAGGTCTTCTTAATATAATCTCAAGCAAGGTTGCTTCACCTCATACTATGCTTCCATCTCCCCACCTGTAAAATGAGATACTATCAGTGTCTACTTCTTACAGCCATCAGAAAATTAAATTAGTTATTATGTGCAACAATCCTACAGCGATATTGGGCACATAATCATTGTTCAATACTTGCTTAACATTTTGCCATGATGATGATCATAATCATCATCCCTAAACACTTTATATACGTTGTCTCAGTTAATCCTCACAACTCAATAAGGGAGTTACCATCACTGTTACAAGCTAACACATCATGAAACATTGTAATGTCATTACGGAATAGATGCTGTAAAAGTTGTATCTGTGAATGTCAAGATTCTACTGTATATTCTTTCCCCATCTTACCTTCACCCTCTAGAAACAATTTGCCCTCAAACCTCCTTGTTCTATTCATGTGAATGGGATTCTCTCAGGCACCCAGACACAAAGCCCTGGAATTATCTCTGATTTGCCTCCCCACCCCAACACTCAGGCAATTCTCTTCTATAATATCTCCTGCTTCCCCTCCCTTTTCACAACTACTCCTGATCTCTTTACTCAGGTTTACATCTTCTCAAAACTAGATAGCCACACACTTTAAAATTTTTTTTATTTCTTTAACTTTTAAGTTCAGGGGTGCAAGTGCTGGTTTGTTACAGAGGTAAACTTGTGTCTTGGGAGTTTGATGTGCAGATTATTTCATCACCCAGGTATTAAGCCTAGTACCCATCAGGTATTTTTCCTGATCTTCTCCCTTCTCCTACTCCCTCCTCCTACTCCCTCCCCTCTGATGGACCCGTGTCTATTGTTCCCCTCTATGTATCCATGTGTTCGCATCATTTAGCTTCCACTTTTAAGTGAGAACATGTGGTATTTTGTTTTCTGTTCCTGTGTCAGTTTGCTAAGGAAATGGCCTCCACCTCCATTCACGTCCCTATAAATCATTCTATTTTTTATTTTTTTAAAACACATAAATTTCTTACAGATACAGCTCTACCTTCAGATATAAAATTCAAAAAACTTTAAGCCACAAGCTTATAATTTCAGCATCTTCTCTCCAAATATAGAAAAAAAAAAAAGGAAAATGAACCAGAAAAAAATTCTGTTCCAATGATGCTATATCAACCACATCACGTCAAAAGAGCTTTCAAAATAACCCACTGGTCTGATTAGGAAGATAAATTTCATACCAATCCAATGTCACACTTTTCTACTGACTTAGGTTAAGCAAGAGAGAATGCTAACTTTGGGAAATGAATTAACTTCTCTTCCACAATTTGATTTTCAGTGTACTGATAGCTTTCGTAAGACCAATTATGCTCTGAGATTTTAATAAACCTTTTTTCTCTGAAGCTCTTAGAACTAAACACATGAAGAGAAATATTGATCTCAATTCCCCTTATGAGTTTGTCAGTCTCCATTTGGCTAAGACTAACCTCCAGTTAGATTTTTCTGGTTCTTGTGACCTCTTGGTCGTGACAACATGAGAAAGGTCACAGTCCTATGACTCATAACTGATGAGCAATCCAGGGGCTAATCTCTGAATTCACAAGTCCTGGGCAGCTTCAAAGTTTAAATCATGATCATAGCCTAACTAGATGTCCACTCTAGTAGACCAAATCCTATTTTATCTTCTTGGAAAGAATCTCAGAGTTAGAGATGCATTTCTATATTGTTCCCTTCTGTCAAATAAGGCATCACACACAAGATGTCTCTCGTATCTGCAGGCATCTACCCTACAATTCAGACAGTGCTCATTCACTTTGTTATTTGTAAAATGAACTACAGGTTTTGAAAGATGACACCCTCCCAGGGATCTTCCTATGCTCTGCCTGTACTCCTATGTGGAGAGTAATGGCTTCTTTGGTTAACAATGCCACCTTGAATTCATATAACTCCTCTCCATCAAGGCTCAGAATACTTTTACAGGTATGATTTTATTTATTCTCAAAACATATCTATGACTCAAGAGTAAATTGTGAAAACTTTGAAACCATGGGTGAGTCAACACCATGTTCCCCAGATTTGAGATTTAAGATAAGTGAAAGAGAGGAAATAAAAATTTTGAAGAAAACAATAATGGACATAGCTTTGTGTTTAAGGAGACCCTTTAAAATAGATATTTTATTTGAAGATATTTGTTACTTGTAAAATTAACATAAGTGATATAATAGTTAACATAATATAATCAGATAATAATTATAAAATGATTATTGGGCTTATAATCATTATTGGGCTTATAATCATGTGGTGGCTTATATCTGTAATCCCAGCACTTTGGGAAGCTGAGGCAGGCGGATCACTTGAGGTCAGGAGTTCGAGACCAGCCTGGCCAACATGGTGAAACCCCGTCTCTACTAAAAATACAAAAATTAGTCGGCGTGCTGGCACATGCCTGTAATCCCATCTACTGGGGAGGCTAAGGCATGAGAATCGCTTGAATCCAGGAGGTGGAGGTTGCAGTGGGCGGAGATCACGCCACTGTACTCCAGCCTGGGCAACAGAGCACGACTCCATCTCACAAAAAAAAAAAAAAAAAAAAAAAAAAAAGAAGAAGAATAAAAAGAAAAAGAAAATGATTATTGAAATTATTACCCTTTCTGAGTAAAGCCAATATTTAACAAGTAGAGAAAATCCTTCTAAGAAATGAATTACCTAATTTTAAAGAGAAAAAGAAAAAGAAAAGAATAAGATGGTTGGTTTTCTGGACTTAGTATTACCCTCTTAAAAATGTTTCATTTTCATAGGATTAGCTAAGGGGTGGGGAAAGACAGGGGAAAATCTCCCTGGATATGCCTTCTTGCCATAGGTAACCTTTTAAATCATCTCATATTCTGAGCTGTCACCTATAGTGCTCTCAGTGTCTAATATTCCCGTATCTTCTCCATGGTCTTTTGAAAACTGGTTGAGCCAGTTTTGATGATTGACCCAGTGTAAGACACCTATCTTTCAAACCTTTCTAATATGTGATATTTCTAAATCCAGGCAAATTTCTTTCATGTTGCAGAAGATGAAAATAAGAACCAGAAGGAAGCAAGCAGGAAAACTGAGGACTGGATCTTGTGGGGGGCTTGTTGCAACAAGCCATGGCTTGATAAACTCTCAGGCTACATCCCTTGACCAGAGATCTAAATGTGTGTTTTATTCTCTAATAGGATAATGAAACTCTCCTATAGCCACCTCTGAGGTTTCATTTCAAACCTAGTCAAATATGGTAGCGGCCTATTATTCCATTTCTGCTTTTGAAAAGTGGTTGTTACTATAGACAGCACTGGACCTTTTCTGCTAGCCCCATCCAAATTCACTGTGCACTCTTCCCCTCTGGGTACTTGGGAGGCTGACCTCTATGGATTTCCACATCAGCACGCTTCCTCCATTCAGGCAGCCAGTTGGATTCTCCAGTGAGAAGAGCTCATTAGAGTAGACAGGAAATCAGAGAGAGGAAAAGATGGAGGTCAGTATTCATTCATCCAGCTCCCTCTCTGCAGTGTCACTACAGGCTGGCTCTGTCTCTAGACTGAAGGTCAAAGGTTTTGTCAGGCAACCCTCTCTCCATATAAGTCTCTCTCTCGGGACTCTGGGAACTCCTCCTTTCAATCATTCTGGATTATACCTTGTCATTTCTCTACCATCTGAACACACTGTTGTAAAATGTCCCTTTGTGAAATTCTGTTCAAATTACCCAGTTTCCTTCCAGGACCTCAACTGACACATAGACTGTATTCAACTACCATTCTGAGAACAAATTAAGAAAGGGAAACAGCTACAGATCCAAAGTCAACTAAAGGAAACCCACATAGAAGGCACAGCACCTTAGCTTGAGAAAACAGCAATGATCTCTGGGAGCTAGAAAGTATCCAACTCATTTTAAAATGTGGGACTGCATTGCCTGACTTTAGAGTAGAAAAAAAATTATACAATATATTGTAACAAATAATACACAAAATAATTCTAAATAAGCATCTTTAGAAATAATTCAGTAGGAATAAATTCCAGGTAGCAATATTTTAAAAATTTGTCCTAATAATGATGATCATAATTCTAGAATATTTGCCCCATCTAATACTATAGCACTGTAAGTAAGATATTTCAGAGAGAAACACAGAAGCAATCTTGAAGGTTTCCCTCCAATTCTTGCCTCTTAGATGTTTTTTAAGTCTGCATGTTTATAAATAGGCAGAGACATTTTTAACCCCATTTGTGAGATGGGAAAGCTGAGGCATGGAGAGATGGCACAGCTAAATTGTGTTGGGAATAAACTTTCACCAAAGGTCATTCAGCTTCTAGAATTCATAACTCTGCACTCACCTGCTTGAAAGGCAAACATATGAATATCACAACTCAAAGAAATATTAGCTAATTCCTGATAGAAGTTTTCCTCTGACCCCTGATATTGTTACATTTATTTCACACTAACTTTTTACTAGTCCATTTGGTCCTAATCCAAGACACAGCCCCGCACTACAGCCCTAAAGGAAATCCCCTGCACTTTTCATTTCTTCAGGGGAATTGGACTAATTATAGTGACTACTGTAGAGACAGCAATAGTTTGAAAACATTGCCTGAGGGATACAAAAGTTGTTTTATTTCATAATTAGGCATTTTTGTCCCGGGGGCATTTTATAATCATGGTTTAAAATAACAGCCATTATATTATTACAGTTTTCTATTTTTTGCACATAAAAATATTTAGAACATGTTTTTAGCTGAGTTTTATTAGTCATAATGCCAGGAAGCGCCTAGTGTTATGGATGATGGAATTATCTTTGAGGGCTTCCCTTTAGTGTTATTTCTTCCTTATAGTCTACATTCTCTCAGTGTTCGGTACCAGATCTAAAATATAAAATGGAAATTGAATATTGTATTCATTTGTGGAAGTCACCTGTACACAGGGAGAAAGTGAACCCCACCCGTCTATCTTTCCACTCCATTTCTCCTAATCAGCACTAAATTCACATGCCACATCTGAAGCTACTTATGTCTTGGGTAAGCCTATATCAAAAAGAACTGAAAAATAAGGAGACAAGTCAGCAAGCACAGAAGTAACAATTCAAAAACAACTGACATTAGATCATACCCTTATCAGGCAACTGGAGTAAATATCCCTCTTAAGTTATCTAATAAACACGAAGCTGTGTGCATGCCTTGACACACATGTATGTGGGCAGAACAGAATGAGAAGTCGTAGAAACAGAAGGAATTGTCTAATGTATCTAGGCAATTCTTGAGTTCAAAACAGGAATAAACCTCTATAATATCCATCAGATTTCTCCTTAAATTCTTCTAGGGCAGGACACTGGTTACCTTACACCACATACTTATGAGAATATTATTCCTTAGGTACAGGCCAAATCTGTGTCCCCTTAACTTCTTCCCATTGATGCCAGTTCTTCCCTTTGAGGGTACCTAGAAAAATCCTAATCTTTTCCATATATTATAGCACCACAAATGTTTGAAAATAGATACCAAGTCCTTTGTAGTGAACAATGCCATTTTTCCCTAGCCAGAACCCATTCATCTCCCTGCTGGTAATGATATCAAATTTTCCTTTAGCGCCACACTTTTCTCATTTTAATCCATGTGGTAGTTTGCAGGGATTGAGGGTTCTTCTTCTAGGGCAGGACACTGGTTACCTTACACCACATACCTATGAGAATATTATTCCTTATTTTTTATTTTGTGGTTAGAACATTTAAAATCTACTCTTTCAGCAATTTTCAAGTATATAATACAATATTATTCACTATAGTTACCACACTGTAAAACAGATCTCTAGAACTTATTCCTCCCATCTAACTGAAACTTTGTGCCCTGGAGCAACAGCCCCCCAATCCCTCTTCCCACCCACCCCTAATCCAACCCAGACACTGGTAACCACCAGTCTACTCTGCTTCTGAGTTCGACTTTTTAAAATTTTACATACAAGTGCAGAATTTGTCTTTCTGTACTTGGATTATTTTACCTAGCATAACGTCATCTAGGTTCATCTGTATTGTTGCAAATGACAGATTTCCTTCTTTTAAAGACTGATCAGTATTCCATTTTGTGTGTGTGTCTGTGTGTGTGTGTGCATGCGCACACGTGCGCACACGGCACCACATTTTCCTTATCCATTCATCCATTTAAAGACACTTAGGTTGATTCCATATCTTAGCTATTGTGAAGAATGCTACAATGAACACAGGAGTAAAGGTACCTCATCTCTTCAAGATACTAATTTCACTTCCTTTGGATATATACCCAAGAGCAGAATTACTGGATCATACGGTAGTTTTATTTTTAATATTTTTTAGGAAACTCCATACTGTTTTTCAAAATGGCTGCACTAATTTACATTTTCATGAACAGTATGCAAGAGTTCCTTTTTCTCCATATTCTTGGCAATACTTGTTATCTTTTGTTTTGTTTTGTTTTTAATAAATGCCATTCTAACAACTTTGCAATTATATCTCATTGTGGTTTTAATTTGCATTTCCCTGATGGTTGGTGATGTTAAGCATTTTTTTCATATATTGTTGGCCATTTGTATGTCTTCTTTTGAGAAATATCTATTCAGGTCCTTTGTCCATTTTTAATCAGGTTTTGTATTTGAGTTTTTTTACATATTTTGGATATTGACTCCTTATCATGTGTACAGTTTGCAAATATTTTATCCCATTCTGTAGGTTGTTTCTTCATTCTGTTAATTGTTTTGTTGTGCAGAAGCCTTGTAGTTTGATACCATCTCATATGTCAATTTTTACTTTTGTTGGGGTCATATCCAAGAATTCACTGCCCAGACCAATATCAAGAAGGATTTTTCCTGTGTTTTCTTCTAGTAGTTTTACAGTTTTTGGCCTTACACTGAAATCATTTTTTAATCTGTTTTGAGTTGACTTTTGTATGTGGGTAAGATGTGCCCAATTTCATTCTTCTACATATTCATACCCAGTTTTCTCAACACTATTTGTTAAAGAAACAATCCTATCCCCATTGTGTATTCCTAGTATTTTTGTCAAAGATCATTTAACTGTAAATAAGTGGATTTATTTCTGGGCAGTTAATTCTGTTCCACTGGTCCATATGTCTGTTTTTGTGCCAGTACCATGCTGTCTTTATTATAATAGCTTTCTAGTAGATTTTGAGATCAGGGCATTGGGATGCTTCCAGCTTTGTTTTTGTTTGTTTGTTTTTGTTGTTGTTGTTGTTGTTGTTGTTGTTGTTTTTGCTCAAGATTTCATTGACTATTCAGGGTCTTCTGTGCTTCCATACAAATTTAATAATTTTTTTTCTATTACTGTGAAAAAATTCGTTGTAATCTTGTTGGGATTGCATTGAATCTGTTGATTGCTCTGAGTGGTTTGGACATTTTAACAATATAATTCACAGTTCCAAACTGTGAACACAAGATATCTTTCCATTCATTTGTGTCTTCATTAATTTATTTCATTAATGTTTTATTGGTTTTAGAGTTTTCAGAGTATAGGTCTTTGATGCCCTTGGTTAAATTTATTGCTAAATATTTTTATGCTATTGTAAATGGTATTGTTTTCTTAGGTTCTTTTGGGGATAGTTCATTGTTAGTATGTAGAAATACTACTGATTTTTATATATTGATTTTGTATCCTGCAATTTTACTGAATTTGTTTATTAGTTCTAACAGTTTTTGGTGGCATTTTTAGGGCTTTTGATATATAACATCAAGTCATCTGCAAACAGAGACAATTTAACTTCTTCCTTTCTGATTCGGAAGCCTTTTTTTTTTTTTTTTTTTTTTTTTTTTTTTTTTTTTTGCTGTTTTCTAATTGCTGTGTCTAGGACTTCCAGTACTATGCTGAATAGAAGTGGTGAGAGTGGGCATCTATGTCTTATTTTTTATACTGGAGAAAAAGCTTTTGACTCTTCACTATTGAGTGTAATGTTAGCTGTGAGCTTGTGATATATAGTCTTTATTGTGTTGCAATACATTGCTTCTACACCTAATTTGATGAGGATTTTTTTCACAAAAGGATGTTGAATGTTATCAAATGTTTTTTTCTATATCTGCTAAGATGATAATATGGTTTTTGTCCTTCATTCTGTTAATGTGATGTATCACATTTATTGACATGCATATGTTGAACCATCCTTGCATCCCAGGGATAAATCCCACTTGATCATGGTGAGTCATCCTTTTAAAGTGACAATTCTGGTTGTTTTTATGAAGCCCTTCAGCAAGAGAATCTCTCTTCTTATTCACGGTTAAAGTTTTAGAATGATACAAGCTCAGAATTTCAGGCATCACCTCATGCAGAGGTATTTTCCTGAAAATAAAACCAAATAAGTCAAAGCCAAGAGATAGAAGAAAAAGATAAGACATGGTTTGATAACCGGATATCATTTGAGCCTGATGTCAGGTCTACTTTTGTTTTTTTCAGTTACATAAGTCAATCAATTTCCCTTTTCTCTTAAGTCAATATGAATCATTTCCAACCAAAAGAGTTCTGACTAATAGAGCTTATCTCAGTCTTATCCTTCCTAAGGAGCATCACAGTTTCTCCAATTATTCTTTAAGTGGCAAGTATTCCTAGATATTCACCATCTCAATCAATTCATCTCTTGACTTGCTCCACTGGAAATGAGCTTCATGAACTATGTTATCCAGAACTAAATATAAAATGTCCTCTGAGCAGTACAATAAATATTGACCTTACTAATCTGGATAAAATAATTATATCACTGCAGCTCAATATTCCATGAATAATATTGTGATGGTTAATTTATGTGTCAACTTGCCTAAGATACAGTGCCCAGTTGTTTGGTCAAATCCCAGCCTAGATGTTTCTGTGAAGGGTAGATTTTGAGTGAAGCCAATTACCTTCCATATTGTGGGTGGGTTTCATCCAATCAGTTGAAAGCCTTAAAAGAAAAGACTGAGGTCCCCAAAAGAGGAAGGATATCTGCCTCCAGACTGCCTGCAATCTCAAGACTGCAATATTGACTCCCGCCAGAATTTCCAGCCAGCCTGATTTCATCCTTGACCATCCTGTGAGCCAATTAGTGTGTGTGTGTGTGTGTATAGGTGTGTGTGTACAGGTGTGTGTATATGTGTCACCTATTGGTTCTGTTTTTCTCTGGAGAATCCTGACTGATACAAATAAAAATAGGTGATACTTTTTTGCTCCTTGCTTGGAGCTCTCAGGCAATGAAGGCACTCAGTTCTTTTACTTTCATGAAGACTCCCCATCTGATACTTGCTCAATTCATTGTTTTAAACTAAGCTTGTTATACTTTACATGCATGCCTACTACCAGGATTTCCATCAATCGAGATATGTTTGAACAAGTTTTCTTCATCTAGTATATTCGTTAAGGTTTCCAGGTTGTGGCTTATACATATTTGATAAGAAGGCTTTGATCTCTTTATCCTCATAATCAGAAAAATGTTCATTAAACTATAGCTCATATTGGAGCCCTGTTGAACACATTTGAGGCTCCCATCAATCTGCATGCTATTGTGTGAGTTCTTTAACCAGTTGTTAATCCACCTAACAGGATTATCACTCAGCCCATACTTCTCCATCTTGCCTGCAAGAATATTACAAAACTTTCCAATGAATGCCTTGCAGAAATAAAATAGTTTATGTTCACAAAATTTCTCCTATTTTCAGTCTAATAACCCATGCAAAAATAGTTACTTTAACATAAATTGTTGTTTAAAGATGCATTCTGGCCCTAACTCATCAGTGTTTGCTCTTGTAAAGAGTTCTCATAAACAGTTTGCCTAGAATTTTGCCACAATGCCATCAAATTATTGTCTTATTGAGCTTAGATCTCATGTTTTTATGTGGTTTTAAAAATATGTTCTTCCTTAAAGATTAGAAATATTGTTTCCTTAATTACATCTACAAATTTTTTTACATTAGTTAATTTTAAATTGACAATAAAATTGTACATATTTATTGTATACAATATGATGTTTTGAAGTACATATATGCATAGTGGAATAGTTAACTCTAGCTTACAAACATATCCAATACCTCACATAGTTATCATTTTTGTGGTGAGAGCACCTAAAACCCACTCTCTTAGCATTTTTTGAGAATATAATAAATCATGATCAGCTGTAGTCACCATGCTGTACAATAGATCTCCTGATTTTACTCCTCGTATCTAACTGTAATTTTGTAGCCTTTGACCTGCAACTCCCCAACCTCTTCCCAATTGTCCCAGCCTCTGGTGATCACCATTCTACTTTCTACTTCTATGAAATCAACTTTTTTAGATTCCACATATGAGTGAGATCATGAGGTATTTGTCTTTTTCCGCTTGGCTTATTTCATTTAACACAATGTCTTCCAGGTTTATCCATGTTGTCACAAATTACAGGATTTCCTTCTTTTTATAGCAGGACAGTATTCCATTGTGTATATATATCACATTTTTTAATCCATTCATCCACTGATGGACACTTAGGTTGATTCTCTGTCTTAGTTATTGTGAATTCTGCTGCAGTGAACACAGATGTTAGATATCTCTTCGACATATTGATTTCACTTATTTTCATATTTTTTCATTACCTTACAAAATACTTGATCAAAGAATGAATAGTTTCTCTCATTTGAAGAAGCAAAGTGCTTCTCACCTTCTTGAGCTTCAATTCTTTTCCACTCATGTTAGTTTCAGTCTTTCCAGTGACAATGTTTTTCTGCTTGATAGAGAAGATAGAGTTAAAACCGGGTGAAGTAAAAAGGCAAATAACAAGACAAAATTATTGTCTATAATAAATAAAATAGACAAACGGCTTTTGTCTTTGTTCTATTAAAAAGTAATAAAATTTGATATTTAAACCATCAAAACTTCCAAAAGATAAATGAAAAAAGATATGAATAGATAATTCATGAAAAAGGCAATACACCTGGATTACAGAACATGGGAAAGGCTATAACTTCATAATATTCCAATATTATGGAAGCTTTGTCTATCAAATTAGCAAAGCCTTTTTCTAAACATAATATACAATGTTGATGGTAAAGTTATTGCCTATCTATTCACATATGCATACATTGTGTAATGACAGATATTGATAACAGAAATATGATCTGTCCCTACTGTTTTGCAAAGCTATGTATCAATATTCACAACACCCCAAAGAAATGTTTAAAATGCAGGAACATATCTAGTTACAAAGATTTTTATTGTAGATTTACCCATAATTAAGACTAGAGAGCAACTATATAATTACAAACAAGAATATTAAATAAATTGTGGCTCATGATTATAATAGAAGGCTATGCAACCATTAAAATAATAATTACTATGAATTTGCTATGATAGATTCTTAAATTATAATGTTTTGTTTAAAAAAGAAAATGTACATATTCTATATAGTAACGACTATGTAATAAAATCAGCAAAACTCTTTGCTGAAAAAAAAAGGCCAAATACACCAAAACTATTGTGGTTGCAAAAGACTAGATGATAATTCTTCTGCCTTCTGCTTTTCTATATTTTCTAAAATTTCTTATAAAAAGTCTGAATGACTTTTATAAATGAAAGAATAGCAATAGGTTTTATTTTTGAAATGCGGTTGAGCAGTTCTTTTTCTTCAAAATCAACAGAGTTTGGGCATCTTTTTTATAATAGCCATTTAGATAGTCAAGAAAAATCATGAAATGAATTACATTTTCAGATACTCAATTCTAAATATGAGAGGGAGGGAGATACAAGTTATTTGATAATGACATGATCTGTAAGATCAAAACAAAACAAAACAAAATGAAAGCCTTCCTCCTGTCTACTTCCCCTACCAAAAAAAAAAAAAACAAAAAAAAAACAAAAAAAAAAAAAAAAAAACCTTCCTAATTGTGTTCTACCACCGGTTCTTTATGGCCACACATAAAGACATTGTAATTACTCCCCAAAAGGTTAGCACTCAAGATTTTCAGTTATGAATTAGTGATTAAGCCATAGCTAGCTGATAGCATAGCCTTCAGCTTCCAAGACTGATCCATTTTGTTGGGGGCAGGACATAGAAGGAGAAGACAAGGTACCATATGTAAAGTAGCCAACCTCTTCACTTCTGAAATGCATCCCTGTGAGTTCTGAACACAGGATTCATGTGAATGCAGTACATGTCAATACACCCTTAACACTTTGTATTCCTTGTATGAAAACCATGCTCTCAGGACTAATGCCATTCTGCACTTAGCAGGAATGAGCCAAGCTATTCTGACTTGGGGTTTATAATACATTCAAGGTATCCTTGAGTATTCCTACAGTTATCCAGTTATAAAAAGACATGAGATGTTCAATATTTTTAAATGTAGAAATCCATGTTATGAGGTAAGAACGAAAGCAATTTCTATATAGAAGGAAAAGAGAAACTCAGATTGCACTGTGATCACAACATCTGATATTTATTAATAAAAGTATTATATATTGACAGTGAGGTGACTGAAGCCCAGATGCCACACTTCTAGAAACTAAGGCAATTTTCCAGATCCTATCTGTAGGGCTAGATAAAGGCTGTAAGAGTAAAAGGTATATGAGAAGAGGCAAGTTAGCACAGAGGGGATTTCTCTGAAAGATGTCTGAGAGGACTACAAGCCAAAGAAGTAAAATGAGGATGGAAGAAGACAGGAAAAGATAACTTGCATGGAACTGGCCAATGAGTCAAAGAAAAAGTGATTGATGGACAGCATGGTCTGGAAAGCAAAGTGAGGCACAAAGCTTAGAGGTGGTAATGTGGAAGACTCCAGGAAAGGTAGCACATTCATTCAATTTCTTCCATAATATAGAGGGATTTCTCTTGTATTCCATAAAGACTTCATACTGGACTTAGGAGAAATAACTAAAATGCATGACTTACATGTTAAAGACCCATTCATTACATTTCATCTTCCAGTGATTGAGTGATAAGTGACTGTTAACTTGCATTTTAATCAAAGGAATAAAGGATGAACTTTAAACCTATGGATTGCCTGAGCCCATGTAAATATTTTTACTACTTTCTCTTCTCCAGTACTACCCAATTCTTCATGATCTTTCTCCTATGGGACCCTGCCCCCAGACTCCACTCTGCTTCCCACTGTGAATGACAACTTCTAATTAAGGGTTTAGCTAATGCCAGAATTAGTACAGCTGAGAGTGTAGTTTTAGTGTAGTTCTCAAATTATGCCTAATTCGAGAATTTTGGATAAATCGGTATCTTGGAACACAGTTGTCTTAGTCTGCTCAGGCTGCTGTAATAAAATACCAGAGGTTGAATAGCTTGTAAACAACAGAAATTTGTTTCTTACAGTCCTGGAGTCTGGGAAATCCAAAATCAAGGTGCCAACAGATTCAATGTCTGGTGAGGACCTATTTTCTGATTCATAGATGGTGTCTTCTAATTGTGTCCTCACATGGTAGAAGGGGAAAAAAGGTCCCTTGGGCCTCTTTTATAAGAGCACCAATCCCATCCATGAAGCCTCTGCCCTCATCATCTAATCAACCCCTAAATGTCCCATCTCCCAATACGATCACCTTGGGGGGTTGTGGTTTCAACATATAAATTTGGAGGAGTTCACAAACATTTAGACTACAGCAACAGTCATCAGATTTAAATGCCCTAGATGCAAGACACACTGCTTTGAGTAACTCAAAATTTACTTCTAAGTCTGTGTTGATTGTGTGACTTTTTCTATTACAAACACATAGAATTATCTGGGTGAGATTATTTTCTTCTCATAGTGCTTTTCATGCCCTAAAATGTCTTTTTCGTACAGATTTATTAGAAAGAAACGTAAATATTATACTCACCAATAATGGGACAATCCAACTATATATGTGTATAAATGTAATGCAATGGGAAGTAAAATAGCATTACCTATGGGGTGTTCTTGCCTTTAAAATGCTTATCTTGAATCTAATCATGGGGAAACAATCAGACAAACCCAAATTCAACCAGACAACAGGGCCTAACTCTTCAAAAATGTGTTATAAAAGACCCTTAAAAAGCTGACAGGAGAGTTATTCCAGATTAACAGAAACTAAACAAATCTGACAACTAAAAGTAAGGTGTGATCCCTACTCAGATCACTAAATTGAAGAAGAAAAACTAAAGGACTTATATGATGAGCTAGAAAATCGGAATAGAAATTAAATATTATATAATAATAATAATGTATCAATGTTAAAAATCTTGGTTGTGATCATTTATTGTGCTTATGGAGAAAAAAATGCCTTTGTTGTTAGAAGACACATGCTGAACTATATAAAGGTGACAGCTGCCACTTCCTTTCAAATAGGTTAGAGAAAAAGGAAAAAGAAAGTGTAGAAAAGATATACATATGCATATACATATATAGAAACATGCATACATATGTATACATATGGAGAGAGACAAATGTGGCAAAATGTTAGCAAATAATGAAGAGTATATTGGTATATTGGTGATCATAGTTTGTACCATTCTTTGTTTTTCTGTTTTTAATTTTCAAAATCAGGTTGGCTAAAAGACATGCAAACAAACACACAATGCAGTGTTATAATAGGGAAAGGTTAGGGTGTCCAAAGTCTGGGTTTTGCACATGGCTCTGACAAACATATTTTGATGACCCTGGGCAGGTAGCCTAAGTTCTTAGGGCTTAAGCTACCACTCATGGCAGAAGGTGAAGGGTAGCCAATGTGTGCAGAGATCACATGGTAAGAAAAGAAGCAAGAGGCACGGGGAGATGCTAGGCTTTTTTTTAACAACCAGCTCTCATGAGAACTAATAGAGTGAGAACTCACTCACTTCCCCTCCCTCAGGGAAGGCATTAATCTGTTCATGAGGGATCCATCCCCATGACCCGGACATCTCTGATATAGTTTGACTATATGTCCCTGCCCAAATCTCATGTTGAATTATAATCCCCAGTATTGGAGGTGGGGCTTGGTGGGAGGTGATAGAATCATGAAGGTGGATTCTCAGGAATGGGAATGGTTTAGCACCACTCCCTTCTTGCTGTCTGCTTGAAAGCCAGTGACTTCTTTCAAAATCTGCTTGTTTAAAAGTGTGTGGTACCTCACTTTCTCTCTCTCTTGCTTCTTCCTAATCCCACCATGTGAGACAGCTGCTCCCCCTCAGCCTTCCACTATGATTATAAACTTTCTGAGTCCTCACCAGAAGCAGATACCAGTGTTATGCTTCCTGTACAACCTACAGAACCATGAGCCAATTAAACTTCTTTTCTTATAAATTACCCACTCTCAAGTATTTCTTTATAGCAATGCAAGAATGGCCTAACTCAAAAAACTTGGTACCAGGAGTGGGGCATTGCTATAAAGATACCTAAAAATGTGGAAGCAACTTTGGAACTGAGTAACAGGCAGAAGTTGGAAGAATTTGGAGAATTCAACAGAAGACAAGATGAGAAAAAGTTTCAAGCTTCTTAGAGAATGATTAAATGGTTGTGACCAAAATGCTGATAGTGATTTGACCAAAATGCTGATAGTGATACAGATAGTGAAGTCTAGGCTGATGAGATCTCAGATAGAAATGAGGAACTTATTGGGAACTGGAGCAAAAGTCACTTTTGTTATGCCTTACCAAGTAACTTGGCTGAATTGTGTCTATGCCTTAGGGATCTGTGGAAGTTGGAGATTGAGAGTGATAACCTAGGGTATGTGGCAGAAGAAATTTCTAAGCAGCAGATGTGACCTGGCTTCTTCTAACAGCCTATGTGAAGATGTGGGAGCAAAGGAATGGCTTGAAGTTGGAACTTGTATTTAAAAAGGAAGCATTTGGAAAATGCTTGGTAAAAGCTTGGAAAATTGCAGCCTGGTCATGTGACAAAGAACGAAAAGATTTTGCAGAGAGGAATCAAGCAGGCTGTGGAGCAACCACTTACTAGCAAGATTTGCATAACCATAAAGAAGTCATATGCTGATAGACAAGACACTCAGAGAAAGGTCTCAAAGGCATTTTACAGACCTTCATGTCAGCCCCTCCCATCACAGGCCCAGAAGCCTAGGAGGGAAGAACAGTTTTGTGGGCCAGACCCAGGGCCCTGCTGCCTTGTGCAGCCTCAGGACACTGCTCCCTGCATCCCAGCCACAGAGTCTCTGCCTAGATTTCAGAGGATATATGGAAAAGCCTTGGTGTCCAGGCAGAAGCCTGTTATGGGGGAAGAGCCCTCACAGAGAAACTCTATAAGGGCAGTGTGGTATGGAAATGTGAGGTTGGAACTCCCACACAGAGTCCCCACTTGGGCACTGCCTAGTAGAGCGTGAGAAGGCCACCATCCTTCAGACCCCAGAATGGTAGATCCACCAACAGCTTGCATCCTGCACCTAGAAAAGCTGCATACACTCGACAACATGAGAGCAGCTGGCAGGGGCTGAACCCTGCAAAGCCACAGGAGAAGAGCTGCCTAAGGCCTTGGGAGCCCAATCTTCACACCAGTGTGCCCTGGATGTAGGACATGGAGTCAAAGGAGATTATTTTGGAGCTTTAAGACTTAATGATTGCCCTGCTGGGTTTTAAACTTGAGTGGGGCCTATAGCCCCTTTCTTTTGGCTGATTTTTCCCTTTTGAAAAGGGAATGTTTATCCAGTGCCTAGACCCTCATTGTACCTTGGAGGTAAATAACTTGTTTTTTTATTTTACAGGCTCATAGGTGGAAGGGACTTGCCTTGTCTCAGATGAGACACTGGACTTTGGACTTCTGAGATAATGCTGTAATGAGTTAAGACTTGGAGGGACTGTTGGGAAGAGATGACTGTACTTTAAAATGGGAGAAACATGAGATTTCAGAGGATCAGGGCAGAATTATGATTTGGATATTTATCCCTACCCAAATATCATGTTGAATTGTAATCCCCAAGATTGGTGGTGGGGTCTGGTGGGAGGTGATTGATAATGGGGGTGGATTTCTATGAATGGTTTAGCAACATCTCCTTGATACTATCCTTGAAAAAGTCAGTGACTTCATGCAAGATCTGGTTGTTTAAGTGTGTGACACCTCTATCTCTCTCTTGTGCCTTCCTGTTCCCACCATGTGAGACACTTGCTCTCCCTTCACCTTCCACCATGATTGGAAACATCCTGAGGCCTCCCCAGAAGCAGATACCAGCATTGTGCTTCCTGTGTGGCCTGCAGAACTGTAAGCCAATTAAACCACTTTCTTATAAATTACCTAGTCTCAGGTATTTCTCTATATCAATGCCAGGAACAGCCTAACATAACCTCCCATTAGGCCCCAACTCCAGCTTCACCTGATGGACATTTTCCAAGATCACAGAAGAGTTTCTAAGATTCGATTTACTTAAGAAGTAAACCAATTTAACCAATACACTTGAGTTTTAAAACAAAAATAAAACACAGCAAAAGAAGAAGCTTCCAAATTAAAAGCATATATTTGTGATTTCTATTTATTTAGAAAATGCAAGAGGGCAACACAAACTCTCTGCCAAAAAAAATTAAAATAAAAAGAACTCAGTATTTTGTTACATCTAACTATATGCTTTTGTTAATTCTGATTTTTTTGCCATGGCCATGAATTAGCCTAAAACCCAATTTTAAGATATTAAAAAGAAAATAAAGTCTCTACATAAAAGAGATTTATTATTTCCCTCTGCTTGATGTGAAAAAAAGCTCTAGGACTCTCATAAACTGAGTTGATAAATATATTGACATCCATAAAACAATTCTGTATCTGGAATTTTCCAGAACATGAGAAACTATGATAAATTACATGAAAGTGTAGTCATTCTTCCCACCAACAGGTTGAATTTCTGCTTGCTTTTCACTATTCCTGGTGACTTATGCTAGAGCTGTTATGAACCCACTAAAGCACTGGAAAAAAAATGTTTGAGTTCCAACCTGTGGATACTTGACCTAATGAGACAAATGGCTGTAACAGAATAAAGTATTACTCTAACCTGCTCTCCATCGAGGGGAATGAAGCTCACCTTCTCTCTCGATCTCACCTTATCACTTCTTCCCCTCAATTATTTTCACCTCTACAATGGCCAGCAAAAAAAAAAAAAAAAAAAAAAAAAAAGCCATAGAAAGATTTTTACCTATCCACATTGACAGCATGTCCTTAGCAACATTTCAAATGCAATCTAAATGAGGATTTTCTTATTTACTTTACCATTGTGACTATTCACTTATACTGGCATTGAGCACACTCACTCAGAAGTAAGGCTTATCAAGGCAGCTTTCTATCTGAGCTCCTACTTCTCCATTTGAGCCAATATGGGACCCAGAATCTTGCCTGGAAAAGTCAAGAACAGTCCACCCAACCAAATACTCAACAACATTCAGAGTTTTAGTAAAACAAAAGGATATGTTACAAGCCATACATTGAAATAAAACCTACGTGCACACACTAATATAAAACCACTAATAGGGAGTATACAGTGTTTCCTAACTTCAATATCCACTTCCTCCTCATCTAACAAATTGTCTCTCCTCTTCTCCATCTGGGATTCTTCCAGGCAGTGCTGACCCTCTTCCTGTCTCTTGAATAGCTTCAGTATGCTAATCCCTAAGAATTGCCCCAAAAGCTTGGGCTTTTCATCCACAAAGGCTAATACTCATTTTAAATCCTGAATCAGTATTATTGATTTATCCAGGATGCTTTTCTCCCACATATATGCTGTGCAAAATGTTGGCAGTTACTTTTAGTTATTAACAGGAATGACTGCCAGATGCTGCAGCCACTCACACACTTTTTTGCATGTACTATTTAGATTCACCTGTCCAGCATAATCAACATTCTGCATGGTGTGACAATGAGAAGAGCATTTTTAAATCCCTTTTGTTGAGAAACATAATTTCTTATTTGACCATCATTGAATAATATTATGAAAGTCTCTGGGTAATATTCCCTCAAGAGCAGCAACAGTCTGGGAATATCACTTGCAAGTATCACCTAAAATATATGGGCTACACTGGCATGCACCCCCACCCCAGGCTGCTGCATGACCCATTTTTTGGCATGTAGGCTGTGTGACATGCCCATGCATCCCAACCATCCTCTTACTCTCATGAGCATCTTTCCCTCTTCCTCTGGCCCTCCTCCCACCAGCTCAGGTACTGTAAGTTTGATAGGGAGAGATGACTGACTGCTGCTTTAGAGATATGTTTAAGGCACTAATATGACTCTAAGACCACTAAAACATTCAGTCCAAGTTCTCCCCTACTCCTCAAAACTTTGCGTAAAACACACCGCTCTGCTCTACACAGGAGAATACTTGGATACATCTTGTGTAAGTCATCATTCTCATATCACTTCAATATAAACGGCAAGAAAATTACAGAATGTCTTCCCACTGTCCACCAGCAACCTCTGGTGTACCTCAAACATAAGTAGAACTTAATGCCCCAAATACAGATGTTATTCAAGAAAGAACAAACCGGCCAGGCGCGGTGGCTCACGCCTGTAATCCCAGCACTTTGGGAGCCCAAGGCAGGCGGATCACTAGGTCAAGAGATGGAGACCATCCTGGCTAACATGGTGAAATCCTGTCTCTACTAAAAATACAAAAATTAGCTGGGTGTGGTGGCAAGTGCCTGTAGTCCCAGCTACTTGGGAGGCTGAGGCAGGAAAATCACTTGAACCCAGGAGGCGGTGGTTGCAGTGAGCTGAGATCACACCACTGCACTCCAGCCTGGCGACAGAGTGAGACTCCAAGAAAAGAAAGGGGAAAGGGGAAAGGGGAAAGGAAAGGAAAGGAAAGGAAAGGAAGGGAAGGGAAAGGAAGGGAAAGGAGCAAGAAAGAACAAACCTAGGAATCTTTCCTATGGTACACAGCTGGTTACAATACAGGAGCTAACACAAAGGGTGTGGCCCCATGGACAGGGGAAGAGCTACAATTCAAAAGAGAAATCTTGTCTACAGCAGTATTTAGCAGCTGAGAATCACAATAGTTCATGTAAACAAAATAGTTGGAACAGTTTGGAAAATAAGCAGCAACTACAATCAATTGCCAAACAAATAGACATGTGGTTCTGACAAACTGCCTCGTTTAGACAGCGAGAGCAGAAATCCAAGTCGAAGCCAAGGGGTAGTTTAAGCAAAGCCAGAGCAGAGGTCATGGCTGGGCTGCAACAATATCATTATACCTACAGGGTTTTTACATGATGCCCTATGTTCTGAACTTTTTTTCTTTCATATGTATCGAAACTTGAAAGAAACAAGCCATCTATTTTTAATCAATATTTTGATAAGCTATGTTAAATAATCACTCTTGCTTAAAGGCCACAGCCAAGTCTCATTAGCTGCTGTGTTTTCCCTTTCATTTTTGTTGGCTTGCTGGATTGCTTGGCAATTTTCACTAAACTTAGGTTAAGGAAAGAGAAACAGGCCAAACTTTTAAATCAGATGAAAACCTTTCACTCCTATTCTTTTAGAGCTTTCTTTCTGTTAAATTGTTTCTCCTGACTTAAAATAAGGTCTCGAATGAATATACCCATCATTATTTTAAAAATAATAATAATTGGTTGTTAAGAAGTAAAAAGCAAAAAGCCTGTATTTTATTCCTCTATCTCTCCCCTCAACTCAATGGCTATTAAAGGGCAATGATAGCCCCACGGAAACAGGAGTTCTTTTAACTGCACAAGAAAATGCATTTAAAAACCTAAACAAGCTAGCTGCAGCCATATCTTTGTTTGGCAACCTGAGTATTCTCTTCACTTAGCCCTGTTCATAGCAACACACAAAGGACCACTCTGCAGCCAGGGATAATAGCTGATCCCATAATCTGGCACTAACATTTAAAAAGATTAATTACCCTATTAAAATCTTAGACATTACTAAGAAAATCTTTGTATAAACCTTTTGACTCACAACAAATGCAGCCTCCTTGGTGCCTTCAGTTTGTTACACAATAAAGGTCCTCTCCCTCCCTTACTTGTTCACTATTATTTCCAACATCTTTAGGAATATCCAGATACACACACAGGAAAGTGCACTCACACTGGCACACCTACACTGAGCCACAGACAGCCAAAGCTGCTTCCCAGTACAAAAGTATAAAGTGGAAGTGTGGTTGGAACAGATAAAGTAAAAACTCCTCCCGTCTATAAATTGGCTGCTACAAAGATTAAGCGGCAGGGAAAAAACACTCCGTGATTCAAAGACTGCTGCTGTGTCAGAAACCGGAGGTACCTAAGAAGATTCAGGTTGTAATCCCCACACAAATTATATGCCCAGTATTCGGAATTATGAAGAGGGTTAAATTCTTCATGCTTGGTATCAAAGTTTCCCTTTAGAGTATAAGACTAGTGATTAGACTTTAAGGACACCTCAACATTTGTTTTATTTCCACAATGACTGTCAGCCTATCATGATTTCCTGTCTTCTCCATGACTGCTTTGTTCTCAGACGTCTTATCACATTTGCCAGGAGAACCCATTGAAAGTGGAAGACCAAGCACACAGGTTATAATTCATTTATGGTCCATACAAAATACTTAGCCAACTTCATTTTCTCCTTATCAGTTGCAACATTTCACTATGTCATCAAACAACCCTGATCAAATGATATCCTGAGAAAAAATTTCTGGAACATTATTGATAGTGCATTGGTTGAAATCCCAGCTCCACCACGTATTAGCTATGTGAGCCCCGGCAAGTTATCTGATAGCCCTCACATGCTCCATCCATAAGACAGTGATGAGAGTTTACACCAAACACATAAGGAAGTGGGGGGATGATGTGAGAGACAGCATGGAAAGTGCTTGGAACAGCACCTAATACATAATGAGTGATCAGAAAGTGTTCACTGTGGGTATGATTATCGTGGTTGGTAATCACTCCCAGAGTGATTTCAGAATAATAGAGGGGATGTTGTCCAAGCAAGGAGAAACTTTAAGAGTAACCAGTCCCTTATATTTTAGAGCTAGTAAGAAAGCAAAGTTTTGACAAAGTTAGCAACGAGGACACACAAACATGCTAACCTTCAGTTTTGTGAACAAAACTAATGGAACTAGAAAGTCCCCAAAACACACTTCACTTATCTTACTCTACCATCCCCACCTTCCAATAGTTGGTTCACTTTATCTATTTCTCCTTATACCATTTTCGGCTCTAGTTTCACCAATCATCTCAAAGAAACTCGAAAAGACTTTTCTATTTAAAAAAACACACACACGTGAGAGAAATCCACAAATGTAAATTTCAGGAAAGCCCAAAACTGCTCCAGCAATACTAGAGGATTCTTTGCAGAGAATGACCTTCACTAAACACCAAATCTACTGACACCTTGATTTTGGACTTCACAGATCAAAGAACTGTGAGCAATAAATGTCTGTCCTTTATAATATGAAGCCTAAGGTATTCTGTTGTAGCAGCCCAAATGCACGATGACAGTGACTTTCTTCAGTTCTACATTTCTTGATTTCTCAGCAGTTGCTATTTACCAGTCTCAGATATGCAGAAACTGTTAGCTCAGAAATTATAAGAACAGGAATGCGTGCACCAGAGTTTTCCTCCAAAAGCAGAGGAGAAATGAGATTTCAGCAACATGAGGGTCAGAGGGGAACTCAACACCAAAGCCTTTTCTGAAATGTACACCATTCTCTGAAAGATGTCCACATCACCACTTTTTTGAAATATATTTATACAAATAGGCTAGGGTCCCAAACTTTAATTCCAAATAAACAGCACCTTGTCACAAAGCCAGGCTCTACCCAAGGTTATCAGTTGCTTGTCAAAAATCTGATTACGATATCTATAGGAAGCATACACAGAAACCAGGAAAGATGGTTGGCCTCTGATTACTCCCCTGTGTTGCTTTGTTTTCAACTCACAGATCTGAAGCCAGCCCTCTTCATGGGAAGTTCTCCATTTTAAACGCATCAAAATCTATCATTAGTACCTTCAAACATCTTCCGTCAGAAGGGCAAAGTGACTGCACCTTGCCTACCTGAAAACATATGCAGTCCTTTCCAAAAAGCAGGTTTGGGCAATACCAGAAAGAAAGAATTTTGAACATCCAGACTTCCTCCTTACTGGGTCTTCTTTTACTTCGAAGATTTCCCCTTTAAACATAAGAATCATGATAAACAATCAGAGAACATTTTCTTATCCTGACTTTGAAGAAAGCTTTACAATCTCCCTGAATCCTTCAGCCTTCTGGAAATCTCCCAATGCTAGCTATATGAAATCTGTAAAAATCCACTTCTAACATATTCACTCATTTTTGAGTCATTAAATCACAGATGTATAGGGCAAGAAGGGACCTTCAAGAACATATGATATGATGAGTGGAAAATCCGTCTTTTTATTTGCCCACACCAATCAACTGGTAATGGCTTCCTGGCCTGCAGTCTACAGCCACATTACAAGCAGTAGGAAAGTGAGCTGATATCTATTAGCCATGCCTTCCATGGCCACAGGTGGGTGGACTAGCAACTGACTTGTACTTACCTGCCATCTCAGATCTAATTCAACAGTTTCATTTCAAATAAAAGAAAAGAACATTGAGACCAAAAGATCAAGGGACTTTTTCAAGATCATGCTGCTATTAGTGGCAGGACTTTCAATTCTGAATCCAGTGGATTCTAGTGATTGTTCCACTACACTTAGTTATTTACCCATCATTTGCTTCTTTGATTTTTTAGTACTGCAAACTGTAGCGTAAAGTGAGCATCAACGCACACTGTCCAGTTTGACAGGCAAATCCTCAAAGTTTTGAAATCTGTATGACAATCCTTCTATAAAGTTTTGAACAATCCCATAATAATAATGTATTCAATAATGCTTCCAAAGTGGCAGACATACTTCTAAGGGTGTCATATAAATTAATGTATGTAATCATCTAAACATTGCTGTTTTACAGATGAGGAAACTAAAACATGGGTCTTACCAACATTTACCACAAGCAGAGCCAGTAAGTATGAGAACCAGGTTCGAATGCAGACTAGATCCAGAGTCCATTCATGTAACTACTCCACTAAACCGCCTCTCTAGCTTCAGGGCAGAAGTTTACATTGTACACATAAAAATTGCTGGTATTCAATTAAAATACGATGCTTGACCAAAGACAACACCATAATAGGTTTCCTTCCCATGGGTACCATCTGTGGTTTTTTACATACCTTCATCTCTCCAATCAGTGACTTCTACAGTATTTTTCAACTCTGGCAAACCATTCCTAGTCAAGGCATAACTTCTTGACCTAGCCCAAGATAGACAAATTGTGCATGAAATAGCCTTGGCTCAACACCACCAGCTTCTTCCCACACTCTCCCACAGAAAGAAGAGTGCCCTTGCTTCTAGAACCACTGCTGCCCATTTTATTCCTGTCTGCAGGAAGAAAGAGTAGAGACAGGAAGGAAGATCATGGAACCAAAATACTAAAACAGAGTCATCATAACAGAAGCAAAGCAACATCTGCTGACATTTTCAGGGCCAACTCCAACTATGACTCCCATCCACTCACCTCACTCAAAGTTTCAGCAGCCATGAATACCAACTCTGTGCCAGGCAGTGTATTAGGCAGAAAGGACAAAATGATGACTAAGCTACTTCCCCTGCACTCAAGGATATCACATACTAGAGCAGATGACAGACACATAAGAAGAAAGAAAACAATGAGTCAACTACAGAGCTGGGTGCATTCACAAAGTACCATATAGGAGTGCACAGGAAAAGTACCTAAATCTGCATAGTCTTGGGGAGTGAGGGGCCAGGACGAAGCAGAGTTTGTAAACTCTGCTTCTCCATCAGCCTATATGATTTTACCTTAAGGCTATGTCCAGTTCAGATGTTAAGCTGGAGGGAAATATGGAAGAGCCACCTAAAAAGCAGGTTGACTCAGTGTTCCCCATTGCTGCAGATGCTCTGCATGAGTTCTTCTAGATCTAAGTGCTGAGCCCACCTGGTCCTGTCCCTCTCTATGGAGATCAGACTATTACATTGAAAGAGCACAGTCTTTTGAGTCAGAAAAGTCTAAATTCAAACCTCTGTACAGGCCTTTACTTGCTATCAATGCTGAGTGAGTTATTTAACCTTCCTCAGCCTCAGGTCTTTATTAAATAAATAAAATTCTTATTTTAAGAATTATTATAAAGACTAGATGAGATAACCACTTTTTAAAATGATGAACAGTAACTGACAAATAGGGGGTGCTAAGTAAATGTTACTTTCCTGTCTTCCTTATTCCTCCCTAATCTCCTTCAGCTATTGGGGTTTCCGTGGTTTCAAGACAGCAGAGGAATGAAATTGGGTCTGAGCAGAAGCACAGCTTCATCCTGCTAAGTCCCATACAAGCTCAGGGCCATCTGACTTAATCTTCAATCAATCCTTGAATTCAAAGCATTCAAGATGTGGTCTGGCTGCTTCTAACAGCCTATGTTCAGATATGGGATCAAATAAATGATCTAAAGTGGGAAGTTATATTTAAGGGGGAAGCAGAGCCTACAATTTGGAAAACTTGCAGCCTAGCCATGTGGAAAAGAAAAAGCATTATTGCCAAGGGAACTCAAGCAGGTCATGGAGCAATCACTTGTAAGAGAGATTTAAATAACTAAAAGGGAGCCAACTGTTAATATCCAAGACAATGGGGAAAAGACCTGGAAGGCATTTCAGAGATCGAAGAGGCAGCCATGATCAGTACAGTCCCAGAGGCCTAGCAGGACTGAATGATTTCAGAGGGCAGGCCCAGGGCCCCACTGCTCTACACAGCCTCAGGATACTGCTCCCCATATCCCAGCTGCTCCAGCTCCAGATGCAGCTCAAAGGAGCTCAGGCCTATGCTCCACTATAAAGGGTGCAAGCCATAAGCCTTCATGGCTTCCATGTGGTGTTAAGTCTTCAGGTGCACAGAGTGCAAGAGTGAAGGAGGCTTGGCAGTCTCCAACTAGATTTTAGAGAATTTATGAGAAAGCCTGGGTGGCCAGGCAGAAGCCTGTTGCAGGGGAAGAACTCTCACAGAAAAACTCTACAAGGGCAGTGCCAAGGGGAAGTGTGGGGTTGGAGCCCTCACATAGACTCCCTCACTGCGCACTGCTTAGTGGAGCTATGGGAAAGGGACTGCTGCCTTCCAGATCGCAGAATGGTAGATTCACCAACAGCTTGCAAGCTCAGCATGGAAAAGCCACAGAGGCAGAGCTGCCCAAGGCCATGGGAGCCCACCCCTCACACTAGTGTGCCCTGGATATGGGACATGGAGTCAAAGGAGATTACTTTGGAGTTTTATAATTTAATGACTGCCCTGCTGGGTTCTAGACTTGTGTGGGTACTGTAGACCCTTTCTTTTAGCCCATTTCTCCCTTTTGAAATGGGAATGTTTACCAAATGCCTGTTCCCCCATTGTATCTTGGAAGTAAACAACTTGTTTTTTTTATTTTACAGGCTTGTAGGTGGAAGGGGACTTGCCTTGTCTCAGATGAGACTTTGGACTTTGGACTTTTGAGTGATGCTGAAATGAGTTGAGACCTTTGGGGAACTATTGGAAAAGGATGATGGTATTTTGGAATGTGAGAAGGAAGTGAGATTTGTGGGACCCGGGACAGAATGATATCAACTGGATGTTGTCTCCACCAATCTCACATTGAATTGTAATCCCAGGTATTGGAGGTAGGGCCAGGTGGGAGGTGAGTGGATCATGGGAGCATATCCTTCATGAATGGCTTAGCCCATCTCCTTGGTGGTGAGTTATTGCAAGATCTGGTTGTTTATAAGTATGTGGTACCTCCCCTTCTCCCTTCTTCCTCTCTTGCTCCTTCTCTTGCCATGTGAGATGCCTGCTCCCCCTTCACTTTCTTCCATGATTGTAAGCTTCCTGATGCCTCTCCAGAAGCAGATGCCAGCACTATGCTTCCTGTAGAGCCTGCAGAATCATGAGCCAAGTAAACCTATTTTCTTTATAAATTACCCAGTCTCAGGTATTTTTTATAGCAACGCAAGAACAGCCAACAGGCCTCAAAATAATTCATAACCTACTTCAACTTGGCCTGTCCCCATCCTGATTGTCACTTTAACCATGCAGTAAGACCATAAGATAGTGACAGGAGGTCATCCGGTAAAAGAACTTTCAGTCTGTTCTCCCACCTCAAAAATGCAAACATAACTACATCTTAAAAATTGGATTACTAGGAGATGGTATCATTATAAAACAACAACAAACATTTGTCATTGTAAGTCTTCTCTGGGATACCACTGAATTTTTTCATCCTAGCTTGGAAAAGGTGAGTCGATGCTTTGTGAACCCAGACACGCATAGCAACAAGTGACCTAAACTCAGATCCTGTGCTGATTACTTTACATGAATTATTGTATTTATTTAACAACTTTGAGTTATGAGGCATATTATTAGGTCCATATTACCTGTGACAAAAGCTAAAATTGAAGCCCTAAAGAGCTAAGTAACTTACCCAAGGTCACACAACCAGAAATGATGGAGCTGAGATTTGAACTATGGCATCTTGACAACTGAGCTTAACCACCAGACTATACCGGATTCTGTTTTCTGTTTTATAATCCTAGGTCTTAGAGCTAGAATTTGTCTTTCCAGCAAATATTTATTGATCATACACTATATGTGAGTCACTGCGCTAGTACTGGCAATAACACAGAGAGAGCTCTGTTTTCATGGAGCTGACTTTCTATTTGGATCAACAGATAATAAAAAAATCAAGCATATACATAGTAAAAGGTCAGGTAGTGATAAATGCTATGAATAAAAATAAAGTGGGGTAAGGAGCTCTGGAGGGAAAGTGCTGTATAGATAGGGCAGGGAGGTTGTCATTTAGTTCAATCCTGTGTCTGCAGGTAGGACATATATCATTATCCCCATCCAGTAGATTAGATAAGTGAGGGACTGAAAAGCTAAGTGACTTGCCCAACATCCCAGAGCTGGCAAGAAATAAAGTATAAACTAAAGCCAAACCTCCTACTCTCTACTCCTTTTTTAGTATGCCATATTTAGTTTGTCTAATAATACTTCAACCTGAAATTACACTTCCATAAATGTGCATTTTTAAGCACAGATAATCCCTATGTACTCATTTTTCCTAGTTGGTCCCAATAAAATGAGATCATCTAATAAAAAACAGAGGACAGAGGGGGGAAAAAGACATTTAAAAAAAGAAAATCCTCTGAATTCATGAATAAGAAACTGAAGTGTCCAAAATGAGGTCTCTTGCCATCACTTTTCAGTACCTTGATTAATAGCTGATACCAGGATGTGTTCCATTGCCATACTCATGGATTTGGCTTTTACACTTGGAAATATCCCGGATCTAACACTTCAATTACTAAGGGAAAAATAAAAGCCCCAAAAATCACTACCAGCATGCATAATATCCAATTCTGCTCTCTTATTTGTTTGAGTAATAAACGAATGGAATTTTGGTGACAAGTTGATTGCTGTGCCCTGTGCCATAAGATATGGGCATTCTAATAGGCTGAATTGCAATTATGCGGTTTTGATGTGACAGATATTAATCAGCTTAAACTCTCTGAAGACTTTTTGGAAAACATCACCCAGTAGGGAGAAATAATCCCCATTCTTCTAACTGATTAAATGTCTTTATGGTTATTTTCTTCCCATGCCTGCTTTTTAAAATATTGCCAGGAGAACAGATAATTGACAATTGCAAGTCTCAACTACAAATTGTATCACTTAAACCAAGCAGTGAAAGACTAAACCTACTTGGACCTGATAAATGTCCAAACTTTGGACTGAGCTATTCCTGAACTAGGCATTTGGTTAGCCAAAATCAATTAGTCAATTAACCTGAAAGTATTCCCTATTAAATATCTGCTTTTGCAAAAGTACAAATGTAACACAGATGTCAACTGGGGTGATTCTGCCTTTGAGATTCTGATCAAATTGTTTCAAACCTTATTCTAAATGCAGCAGGGAGCCCAGCAAGCCTCTCAGTATTTCTGGGGACCCTCGGGAGGCTTATGTTTTATATTGACGTCTTTGGCTCCAATTCTATACCAAAATCCTAATGTCTCTCTTCTTGTGGTCATCCCCCTCTCTCTTTTTTATGTCAACTCATTCATGGGATGCAACCCCTTCTTTTTTATTTTGCAAAACGACTACTGACACATGGCCATGGCACATAGCAGACTCTTTACTGAAAATTCTAGGTCACATTGGCTGAGGAGGTGGGATGGTTCTGTATAATGTAGCACACACTAGCAGAAGAGAAATTCCTGCTCCTCTTCTTAAAAGTCCTGCAGCTGTCAAATATCACCATCACTCTATCATGACTACAGAATTTTTTGTCTTCTATTAAGACTCTACATTGTTAACCATACCCACACCCCTAATCTCCTCCTCCTTCTCTCTCCTCCCTACTACACTTGCTCCTATACTCCAAATGTCCCATCTGATTCTCACTGAGAGTCATTCAAGTAAGACTTCTCTTGCTCAGATCATCCTGGCCATAACAGCTTTCTTTACCCAAGCAAAATGGTCAAGCCAAACAATAGCACTTTCCTACAAAAGACATTGTGTGGTCAGCTCTTAAAGCAAGAGGATTTTCTCTTCTCCACCTATGAACAGCTAATATTTCCTATCTTTTCAGAGGATGGAGAAAAGAGCATCTCCTGCCTTTGATCTGCAATCATAGCCCATGATGGTTCTCCTGACCCTTTCTTCAAATCCCCCAATATACTTCGCAATGCTAACGGCTCCACTTCACCAGCCATGGTATTTACATCTTAGTAAGGAAGTGCTACCAATATGAACTGAAGAAAGGCTTATAAACCTCATTTGTTAAGCCCCCTGGCAGGCCCCCAATTCCTGGCAGATTATGTGCCTACAGAAGGCAATGAGAGTAAAAATATCCTCAGACCATATTTTTTTTAGAAACTATTTTCTAATAGTGGTATGTTCCTGATCAGAGCCTGGTTCCCCAATTTTATTTAGATATATTCAGTCAACTCTTTGAGCAGGTGTAAAGGAAATACTTATATTCAATGCTACATAAATTTTTAAAAATCCATGTTATAACTATTTTTATTATAAAAAATATTTTTATTAAAAATTGTCCAAGAGAAAGTTCTAGAATAAAAATACCTTTCTGATTTTAAAAATTGTGTTTATTGTAGAAAATGTTTTTCAGAAAAGAAAAATCAACTGCAATCTCACTACCAACAGATAACCACTATTCATACTTTGGCATATTTTCTATATGTTTGTTTCCTCTGCAATATTTTGACAGATATGAGATCACTGTAATATATAGTTTTGTATTCTCATCTTGGTACTTAATGTCATATATTGAGCATTTTTGCATTCATAAATATTAGTAGTAATGTCTATATATTAATCCACATGTGTATACACTAGTTTATATAACTTCACCTATTGTTCAACACTTTGATTATATTAAATATCAAGTTAACACCATACTAAATCAACTGTTTGATCAGCTATGATAAAAATGTGTATACACACATTTAAGATGTATGTACAAAGCCAATTAAAGCACAACAAAACAACACAATAAGTAATCACATAATTCTTTACGTAATTTATTTAGCCTAGATGTAAAACAAAGTTTTGAAGTTATAGGAAACTAAATTAGTCTGAGTGGTCTGTATGTGAATCTGGGGAACAGGGAGACATCCACCTCTATCCTCAACCCCATCCTTAGTAGTCAATGCCAAAACCATACTGGGCAAGTGTGGGGGTGGGGAGATTCTAATACCCAGAGGAAGAAAATAACACTTTCCAATGGTTCATGTCAACAGCACACCATCCAGGCTGCATGGTTTCCATTCCCCCTACTCGAAGGGCCATAAATGATTCCATGTGTGAACACATAGTAGCTGATTCATGGTGCACTGGGGCCAGCCATAAGCTATATATATGTATATGGTGTTATTTACTCAATTAATCTTTGCCCCCTGAATACAGCGGCAAAGATTCTAATTATTGTTTCCAAAACGACACTCATTAAAATGCCAACAGCCATTCTATTCTTGTCTTCTTTGAGATTCTTTGTTTCGATTATCATTTAAGAGAAAAACCAGCTGCCATGCAGCCTAACATATTGCAGTCAAACCATGCCCAATTCGCCTAATATATCATCATTCTAATGATTCTGTAATTTTTAAAGCTGGAAGATATATGAAATGTTATAGCAGTGACAGCACATTAAAATGGTTCTTCTACCCCTTTCCAAATTCCAGTTCCACCTCCCTATCCAAAGCCCAAATCTCTCTGATGGCTACCGCGAATGTCAAAAATCAGGGTCTACAATACTACCAGAAGTGTGGAAAAGAAACTTGAGTCCCCTTTTCTTCCAAATGCTCTCCAAAGGCTCAACTAGAAGTTCATGGTGAAATTGCAGTCTCTGATAACAACATGTGAGAGATGCTGTCACTGGCTGCTTTTCAAGGGGAATGGTTATTAGAGTCACATTTGGTCTTATAAACTAAGTGAAAAGGATTTGTAAGGAATAAACAGAAAAGCCTGGGAAACAAAAGTTTCCTCCCTCAAAATATAAAGTAGCTTTTTATACAAAGAATTAGGATGTGGACATCTCAGCCTCCCAGCTTTGCCACTTTTGTTCTATTATCTAGTGAAGCAACTGAAAAGGAGCCATAATCTAGAGCTAAATCCCAGATCCCGAAAAGACTACATGAGAATGACTGGCTTGACACACAGGAGCCTGAAGGCCCAACATACTGCAATAGGAAATAGTATGATGATGTAATGCATTGGAACCAGAGGCTCAATAAAATGGGTGCTGTGCTGAATCAAGTGGAGGAAGAAGCTATTAAATTCTAGGACTGTGCAAGGATTCTCCCTTAGCGAGCCCATTCTGAGCATCAGCAGCTCACTCTTCCACATGTCAGCGCCATTGTAACCAGTTGCCTGTCTCCCAAGGGGAACATGACTGGCCAACAAATGCATTATGCCTTTTCTTCTTCCAGAAGTTTCCTTAGTATCAAAAGTCAAAAAACCTGGTAAAAGCTTGCAGAGAACACCACTGCCTTATTGGAATTCCCTGAAAGGGGCCAGTCTTGGTATTTTTCTGAAAGCCAAGCAAAACAGGCAAATCAAAGCAGGGCATACATCCGTCTCCACAATTGCCTCCCTTCCCACTGGCATGCATTTCACCCCAGTTCTGACACCCCTGGTTTATCTCTGATGCCCCCAGCTAATTCTCACACTCCATTGGAAAGGTGGCCTCAAGGGTACTGTTCGTGTCACCATTCAGGAGACTTTTCACCCTTAAACCTGGGACTTTGCCAGACAGACAAACAAAAAAATCTCAGATGAAGCATGAGGGCTGAGGAAGGGATTTGTTTTTCCTTGATGACACGACTCCAGAAGATCACCTAAACAGTATCCTCAAATGATTAATTTCACAGTTCTTTTCTCTGATTTGAGGATAATTCCATAGAAGTGTATTATTTTGTTGTTTTTTAACCTGGGTTCATTTCCCAGCCAGCTCTTCGGAACCCCCTCACCATACTGTTGAATTCTCCCTCTAGCCTCCCATAAACAGAACTACTCAAAGGCCTATCTGGAAGCCTGCCATCCCCCTCTAGCCAGAGGGCCCGGAGGCAGACCTGCAGGCTGGAGCTGGTGCATCCTCTGGAGATGAGGCAGGAAGGGCTGGCCCCTTTTTTGGTGGCAGCTGTTTCAACCTTAGCAGGCAGCTGGCAGCAGCCCCCTTTGAAGCCCCAGCAAAGAACAATGATTCCAACATCCTCTTCAGCAGCCACCAGCTCCATCTCACATCTCCTTCCGGCCCACACTGCTCCTGTCACAGTGATTATGGAGGCAGCAGTTGTGCTGTAATTAGGATCCTCCTGGGCCAGACAATCTCAGTGAGAGCAAGATGCCAGCTGCTCCATCGCCAGCAGCATCTCCTTGGCACCCCGTCCTACTCGGCACTCTTCCTCTCTTCCAAACTCTGTCCTGTCCTCTTGGCCACTGGAATCACCAGCCAGGCTGAGACCAAGCACACAACTTATGCTCTGCCCCGGATTTAAGGTTATTTCTTTTCCTGGCTCACTGAGAGCAACTCCAGCTCAAGACCAGGTAGACAGCAATGGGTAGTCAAGTCATTCCAAGTAACGGCTTTTTCGAAGGTGGGCTTCAGGGATTGCCTAAACAGTTTTTGCTTCAATTCTCTATTTCTTGACTTTATTGTTCACATAGTTCATATATTCCCCTGGCCTTCTGGACACTTTAAATGTTCATGCTTTTCCCAACAATCATGATGCTGGGGTCTTTTCAACTCCAGGATCTTTCAGTTAAGGGTGCAGAGAAGATCACTCATGGATGGCATTGCCCATGGGACAGCCTTCCATGGGCAGGCAGCCTCTGGGGGTACACAGAGTCTCCCCCTCTGGTTTCATATTCCTCCCTCTTCTCTTCCTAGGACTTTGAACGAACAAGAGCCAGGAGATGCTGAAATGGCTCCTACAACTGTTTCCAGATGAAAATGAGGGAGCCCACGTGGCATGTGAGCAATTCTCCTCCTCCATTCTCTGATTCCTGGGACCAGAATAAAAATGCAGTGACAAAAGCTGACTCTCCTATGAGAAACCAGAAGGCCCACAGCCTAGCAAAGCAGGCTGATCTAACTGCGCTGCCCAAGACCCAAGAAATCTTAGTGCCAAGAAGTCTGTTTTCTTACTATCCCCACTTTCATTTTCCCTTCTCATCATTTGTCAAACTTGCCCAAATATAACATTTCTACCTTACAAGGGATAGTGGGTATTTTTAATTCCCATAACCCTCCCTATGGCTCAAAATAAAGGCATTGTAAGAAAGCGGTTCCACATTCGGGCAATGCTTTCCTACTCCCTCTGGCCGACCCACCCAGCTCCATGACTGCCCCACACCAGGAAGAAAGACAGATGATGGGAGAGAAAACACAGGGACATCAGTGAGGTCTGTGTGACCCACAGTACTGGCCAGAGTGAAGGGTGGAGCAATAGGATTTTCAAAGCTCCCCTCCCCTCCCTGGCTTTTCACTTTAATGATCTTTGAGGTGCCTGAGGCAACACTTTCATCCTGGATAGATACAGCAAAGGAGTCTTTGGGAAGCAGAGAAACAGGAAAGGGCGTAAAGAAAGGGCTTGTTGTATTTAAGAAACGGTCATTCAAATAGCTTGCTGCCTGCAGGCTCTGCCATCCCTTCCCTCACTAGGGGAGGAAACTCCCAACAGTTTCCAGTGGACTGAGGAGCAGTTCCCAGACATTGTGGATCAGAACAGATGACACACGAGACGTCCACAGAGCAGCAGATGAGGGGTCATCTCAACCCTGGGCACAGATTAATTGGTGGCAAATTGGTAGTATTGGTAGAGAAGCCTGGAGAGTTATCAAGACCAGAAAAGAGAGACAGGACCAATGACTATGTCAGTACGTGGCCAGTCAGCCAGGGTGGAGGCATGCCCTGAGACCTGTCCTTGGGACCAGGGGGCTAAAGAAATAGCTCAGACTCCTATAAAAGTAGAGCAGGAGAAACCCCATCCCAGCCCAGGGCGATGTGATCTATACATTTGCAAAGGCTGAGAGAAGGAAATGTGACAATATGGTTGCAGAAGGTATTTTCTTTCTTTCTTTTTTTTTTTTGGAGTTTTGCTGTTTTTGCCCAGGCTATAGTGCAATGGCATGATCTCAGCTCACTGCAACCTCCATCTCCCGGGTTCAAGCGATTCTCCTGCCTCAGCCTAGTAGCTGGGTTTACAGGTGCGCGCCACCACACCTGGCTAATTTTCTATTTTTAGTAGAGACGGAGTTTCACCATGTTGGCCAGGCTGGTCTCAAACTCCTGACTTCAGGTGATCCAGCTGCCTCAGCCTCCCAAACTGCTGGGATTACAGGCGTGAGCCACCGTGCCAGGCCGAGAAGGTATTTTTATAGCAAGGATAGCACGACTCTAACACCACGTAATAAGACACTGGAAAAATATGGGCCCCCATAGCTTCTGGTGAAATAGAAGAGTCATTCAATTCAGGCCTTGAATTTATGAAAACCTTGAATGTATTTTAAATAAAACAAAAGTACAGACTCGGGCTAAGGATGAGGTTTGCCTCTAGCCATAAATGAGTGAAGACTGTGTTGAACCCTGACTGTGTGGAAGTATTTTGCCCATGATAATGTAATATTTAGACCTAAATTAATCACTTAACAAACCAGTAGAGACTTAGCTCCTACTTCTTTTGAAGGGCATTCTCAAATAATTTGTTATTTTTTTTCTACTACCAGATTATGGAATGACGCTTCCCTGCCACCACTAGTGCCACCACCACCAGCACCATGTCTGCCAATTAGACACATTGCCCAGTCTAGGTGCCTAGATAGAGACCAAGTCAGTTTATTTACAGTTGCACACGTGGACTTCAAAAAGATCCCAGCCTTATTCAGTCTTTGTCAAATATCCCAGTCTTACAAAATGGATCCTAAACGAAACTCATCCTTTTGGGGTCAGCCAAAAAAAAAAAAAAAAAAAAAAAACCAAACAAACAAACCTGACATTGGCACTGAGCTCAGACTTTGACTTGGCAGATGAATCAGAATGAGACATGTGATTCCCCTCTCCACCTTTTATCCCTCATTCCTTTGCTCCCTCTCTCCTGCTTGCTCCGTCTACTGCATTAGGTTAACAGATTATTATTTCCATGAAAGCAAGCCTGCTCAAAGCTTCAAAAATCTTGCAAGAAATTGTTATTGTGATTCAATCTTTCAGACTTCACAGTGTTAATAATCCCTTTAGACTCATAAAGAGCTTATTGGAACCAGCATTGGAATTAATTGAATTTGTAGTCTCACCAAACACAGACAGCAACTCTATTATTAGTATTCAGATTACTGTGGTAGGTTTTGATAATTTTTACATTCTTTATGTTAAAGGGGCAGTATCAAATTAAAGACAGCAGCCTCAAGCCTGTTCTATGTCCTCATTCATAGTTCTTCCTGTGGTTCAATCAAAAGCAAGATATAAACCATGCATTTACTTAGTGTCTACATGTTTGTTACTAATGGCTCTAAATTAGTAACAATAAAGCCATTTCATAGTTTATTTTTAGGCATTTTTTTGTTCCTATTAGAATTCTTCTCTTTAGGGAAGGCTTACTTTTTATGTCCTAGTTCATTTTTTATTTGGCAATATTTTCCAACTGAACTTCCTTTCCAGATTCTTGTTACTTATATAGTTTGGCTTTCAGAACCTAATAGAAAGATCAGCTTCTCAATGCTAGGGACAGCTTGCACAGATCTTTTTTTTTTTTTGAGATGGAGTCTCGCTCCGTCACCAGGCTGGAGTGCATTGGCGCCATCTCGGCTCACTGCAACCTCTACCTCCAGGGTTCAAGCAATTCTCCTGCCTCAGCCTCCCGAGTAGCTGGGACTACAGGCTTGCGCCACCACACTCAGCTAATTTTTGTATTTTTAATAGAGACAGGGTTTCACCATGTTGGGCAGGATGGTCTCGATCTCTTGACTTCGTGATCCGCCCTCCTCGGCCTCCCAAAATGCTGGGATTACAGGCATGAGCCACTACCCCCGGCCTTGCACAGATATTTCTACTGCAAAATATAACAGAATGGACTTGGAGCAAAAAGACCTACATTGTGGTCCCCACACACCAATAACTACCTGTGTAGCTCCTCAGCATCGGTTTACTGCTTCGAAGAAAAAAAAAAAAAAAAAAAAAAAAGGCCAGTGTGGTGGTTCATACTTATAATCCCCGCACTTTGGGAGGCCCAAGCAGGAGGATCACTTGAGCCCAGGAGTTCAATACCATATTGGACAGCATGGTGTGACCCTGTCTCTACTAAACACACAAAAATTAGCAGGGCATGGTGGTGCACACCTGTGGTCCCACCTACTTGGGAGGCTGAGGTGGAAGCATTGCTTGAGCCTGGGAAGTCGAGGCTGCAGTGAACTAGGGTCGCACCACTGCACTTCAGCCTGAGTGAGAGAGCAAGACCCTGTCTCAAAGAAACAAGAACCCAAAGAGGAGGGCTGATTTCTAACATCACTATCATCTCTGAATTATTTCTAAGTCTCTGCCTTTTATGATTATAATTATATGGTGCTATAAAAGACTTACAAACACCTCTTTCTGTAGTGAATCATAAATAGTTCTGTTTTCTTATTTATTGTACTCCTTATTGCTTTAGGAGGATAAGGAAGACTATCGTCCCCACAATTGCTTGTTTTCTAGCATACTGTCTTTTGGGAAAGATTTTTGCCTTAGAACCTGAATGTGTGTGTGCTCATGTGTGTGTATTTGGTGTGTGGGGTATATTGCCTGTGATGGGTATGTATTTGTACATACCAGGGGAGGAGGTTACAGAGAGAAGAAAAGGAGTACTATTTATAAGCATTTTGTTTAACCACTACTGTCCTAAGCTTCAACAAGTTAAAAAAAAATTTGAGACAATATACATCTTGAGCATAAAAACTATGTCCCATTCTTTATGAGTGCTTCTAGATGGCAAGTAATCATATAAACCGACCAGTCTCATCAATCATTGACTCCTTAGTGAGCATCTGATAAGGGATTGGCCTTAGCAGTAGGTGTTATAAGTAACACCTACTTATACTTACTTACCCTTACTTACTTACTTACCCTTGACAAGTTCATACCCCAGTTGAAGGATACAGAATCAGAATTTTGGGCTTGCAAGAGTTATCAAAGTTCTTCTAGTCCAACCTTTATCCCATGAAATCATTATAAAGATTAATGACAACCCAAAAGAGATCATTTTATAGTAGAAAATCCAGGCACACTCCACAAGACAGGACTCAGAAGACTGGCCATTTATTCCCTCATTCCACCAAATCTGTACTTTGTTTAGAGAGGTTTGTAAAAATGAAAAAGTAATACCCACACTATAACCCCAACTAAAGTTGAAAGAGAGGGCTGATATGCATTGATGAAACACATTCCCTACATTCTCCTTCTCTCAAAAAGCTAAAGATCTTTTTCTACCGCTGGTTGATTTGTTGGGAAGACAGAGGAGAGAAGGGAAGGGTGACTGCGTGGATTGGAGAAACCGCCTCCTCGCTGAGCAATTTCACGTAGTTGCCCTCCCTCTAGTGGTCAAAGTAGAGATGGCAGCTTTCTGGTTCAGTCTTAAAGAGTCCGCCTGGAAGAAGGAATAGGGGTTACCCAACCCCCAAAGTTTTGCCTATCTAATTTGGAACCTCAATGCTAAGTTGTAAAACAAGTTGCCTTACAAAGACTTTTCCTTAATTAGAACATCTTGCTTGTTTATAATGATCATGGCACTTACAAAAGACCATATGTCTTTGAGACGCTGCTTGGCAAGACTTTTCCAATATTTACCAAATCTATTTTGTATCCCATGCTAATAATAGTCCAGTGGGTCCCCAGGCAGAGGGATGGAGACAGAGGACTTCTCGTTTCTTCTATTACTCAGTGTTCTGCCTTCAGAATGTGAAAGACCTCTCAGTTTCTCTGAAAGGACTGAAATAGAGCTCAAAGTTTCCCAAATGCTGTTATTTTGGGAAACGTTTGTTTCAAGGGCTAAATTGTCATCGTTTGACAAATCAACATTGAGCAATGCTCTGCACTTTGTAACACACACACTTTAAACTATTCCTTTAAAAGAAACTTTGAAATGAATGCCAAATCATTGTATCCACAATATAATTACGTTCTTTAGGTGGTAGCTTTTTAGTTCAGGAAGGAACAAGAGAGGTATATTCTGATCTAAGAGGGTGAAATTGATGTCTGGCATTGGTAGCAACTGTTCCGAGGTCACTCAGCTGGACTTTTCCTCACTGTGTAACCCCGACTGTGCTGGGTGTTTAAAAATAAATTGAGAGTGAGTGGATATGCCTACAATATCTGTCATCAACATAACCCCCCAAAAATAAGTAATCATTTTGTTTCATTTTGTTGATGTGGCAATAAAGAATGTGCTCAGTTTATTTTTTCACTCCTTAAGTCTGATTTTGGTCATCCAGGAGACACAGCCACCATCATTCATTTTGGCACAAAGTTATGTGGCAATTTATATAGAGACCTGGGAACTAACTGGTTAGGTTTGATGTTATCCAAGAGATGTTTAATTTATGTGAGTCTTTGAAAGTCAATCAGACATGTTTTTGTGTGCAGGCTACATGTTTTACACTAAGGGTCTCTTTTTTTAGTTGAGTTGTAATGGGGGAAAAAAAAAAGACCCGGAATTCTTTTTCTCAATAGTGATAACTCCACAGTTCTAGGTGGCATAATCCTTTATTGCAACGTATTCTATATAGTTTGAATAACTATTATTACCAAGTCTTTCTCCCTACTTGGGAAATGGTGGCATTATCATCTATTTATGAAGAGCTTTGAAATAGCTCATAGCAACAAGAAATGACCATTGAAAGTAGCTAGCACATATTGACAGCTTAACATGTACCAGCCAGTATTTAAAGGCCTTAGCCCTGTTAACTTATTTATTTCATAAAAGAGGCCTACTATGCAATGACCATTGATATCCCCATTAAACAGAAATGGACCTTCAGTTTCATGAAGGTGTCTCCACAGTATCTCACTAATTATGACAATATTCTTGTGAGACTCTTAAATGCTTCATTTTTTATATTCTTTATTAATAGCTATATTGTATACATATGACACAGGACTATGTTTCTTTTTTAAAAATGTATCTGTCATAGTTGCTGCCTTGAGTTCCTTGAGGGCAGAGTCTGTGTTTTAGTTCTTTAGATTTTCCTGTTATAAATCACTTTATTATGTGCAGTGCATGGCTTTTCTGAATCAAATTTATTTATATGTAAATTTACTACTGAAATTTTGCTAATCACTAGAAAGGTTTGTGCCATAAAGATCCCCTATTTCCAAAGAAGAAAAGAGAATTGCATTGGAAGTTTATGAAATAGCAATTAAATTTAACTTTGAGGGTATAGAACTGCTACCTTCCACTATGAAAATACTTTGGAACAGAGGATACTGAGGGGAAAGAAGTCGGAGAAAGTTCTCTGATGTGACTATGTACTTTTAGAAACAAAAAAAAAACTCAAAGTACATGTTTCAGTGCCAGAAAAATTAATAAAGGTGAACAGCAATCATGAGTCAGCTCCTGAGGGGCCTAGCTGTAACTCTAGGAAATTTGAATTGAAGCAAAACTTAGAGGGGCGACATATCTCTCAGGTTTTAGAGAACACCAAGACATCTATTCCCAGGACATAGAATACTTTGCATGAAATAATTGACTACATATACTATGAGGTTACTGTTATTTTTCAAACCAGTTTCCAAAACTTCAACTTAAGTTTTCTCCAAAGCACAGACATGCACCTACAAACACATCTGCTTCTTTTTTTCTTTTTTTTTTTTTCTTTTTTTTGAGATGGAGTCTGGCTCTGTCACCCAGGCTGGAGTGCAGTGGCCTGATCTCAGCTCACTGCAACCTCCACCTCCCAGGTTTAAGTGATTCTCCTGCCTCAGCCTCTCAAGTAGCTGGGACTACAGGCGCCTGCCACTACGCCGGCTAATTTCTGTATTTTCAGTAGAGACGGAGTTTCACCATGTTGGCCAGGCTGGTCTGGTACTCCTGACCTCAGGTGATCCACCAGCCTCAGCCTCCCAAAGTGCTGGGATTACAGGCATGAGCCACTGCACCTGGCCTGAATAAACCTTTTTGAGCAACTTCTCTAAGAGGGTTCTTGGTTGGAAACCAACCTCAAGGAAGCAAAGTCCTGCCTCCAAAAATGTGGCAGCCTAGGTCCACCAAGACATAAACACTATTGGCACAACATACTATTGAATAGATGTAGGGGTGCAAAGAAGGGAGAGTGTATCTCCAGCTACAAACATCCAGAAGGATTTCATGGAGAAGGTGGGCTAGTAGCTGATCACTGTAAAATGTTTAGAAACTTAAACATGCAAAGTTGGAGGAAGACCTTCCAGACAGAGTTAACCATGTGAGCAAAGGCTCCAATTCACAGACGATAATTTGAGAGTCATAGACAGGAAAAAATAATCCTGCTTGAAAGGGAATAATGGGAAGTGAGAATGGACAAGTAATTTTGGAATCAAGCTGAATGTTTCCATCTATTTGTATAGTGTTCTGTAGCCACTGCTTAAAACAAAGAACAGGCCAGGTGTGGTGGCTCATGCCTGTAATACTAGCACTTTGGGAGGCTGAGGCAGGTGGATCACCTGAGGTCAGGAGTTCAAGACCAGCCTGACCAACATGGCAAAACCCCATGTCAACTAAAAATACAAAAATTATCCAGGCGTGGTGGCATGTGCCTGTAATCCTACCTACCCAGGAGGCTGAGGCAGGAGAATCACTTGAACCCGGGAGGTTGAGGTCGCAGTGAGCCGAGATCATGCCACTGCACTACAGTCTGGGCAACAAAGCAAGACTCCATCTCAAAAAAAAAAAAAAAAAAGAAGAACAAAGTCAGGGTGAAAAAGCCTGATTCAGAAGAAAGCCCATACTGTGCATGCAACAGACGTTCAAATCATTCCAGGAACTAGAGGCAGAACAAAGAAAGAAGTACCTTCCCACACAACTGAAGGGAAAGTTCTGGGGACATTGATACCAGCAAGAAAATTAGGACAAATGCTACATAAGAGCTTGCCACTGTCCCTTGAGAGGTGACAGGAAGACTCAACTAATGGTACCAAGCTTAACTCTAAAGAATTGGATGTAGGCACTTTAAATAGGGAAGCTTTGGCTCTGGAACTATTTCTGAATGACTGCAACTTTATTGGTCCTTGGGGCACAAGGTCCAGAGCCAATCTTTCTATCTGGCCCTGTACAATTACAATGAAGATACTTGTTATTTAGCAATGGCAAAGACTGGTTTTGAGTGAAACTGGTGGGCAGGAGAGTGAGAGCATCTTCCACTGATCAACTGAAGAAATATAACATCAGAACGAGGGATTCACTCCTCTCCGCCTAAAAAAAGCAAAGTTAGTTTTTCACTTGATTTTTAAATAATCTAGAGAAAAATAGCAACAACAACAACAACAACAACAAAAACTAGATGCAATGTGTGAGAGCACAATGAGACCATTAGAAAATTGAGGAGATCCTTGGTTAATGCTTTAGTTTCAGCGCTCATTTTCCTGAAAAATATTGCTTTTCTACTCCTCAAGGTTGTAAAACATTTAATATAAAGAAGAACAAAAGCTTGGCCAAAAAAGATGAACAAGACTTTGAGATCAGTGTGTCCTTTGCATGGTTCCAGCCATAACCACTACTTACTTAAAGTTCACATGGAGTCCACTTAGCTCCATGTATTCTGGAAGACTCTCTCTGGGTTTCAGAAGGGCCGCCTTCATCAATCTGGGATTACTTCCTACACACAGCATTTTGTCACCTTTAATCCTTCGTGTCACGGAGGCACTTGAATTTGGTCTGCAGGTAACGATTCTTGGCTGCTGCCTATGTTTCTATAGTTGTGTTTTCAGCACGAATATTCATTTACGAAGCTCACAGCTATTGCACGCCTACTATGTGCCAGGTACTCAGAGTACTACTTCTTTATTATTTCTTCATTATTCCCACAACCCAAAATTCTACAGATAGGCCTAATGATGTAATTTACAATTGAATTTCAAATTCATCCAAGAAGATGACAGCCATGTTTCAGGTTTTGCTTGAAAGAGGATTTGATTGGGGAAGGTGGGGACACAAAATGAAAAGGGGAGACACGTACACTAAAAGATAAGAACAGCAGCTGTGTCACCATTTGAAACACAAGGAGATTACCTCGTAACAGAATTCTCCAAAGCACTGCATTTTACACCATCTAGCTTCCAGTAAACAAGTCTTGGGAACCTCAGATAAAGTGCTCATCTTATGATTTTCTATTCTAGTGATCATGATATTTTCAAGGATAACACTGAGTTAGCCTGAATTACCTACTATCAAGATAGGCAAGAAAACATACCTTTTCTGGGTCTACACGACATGAAGTAAAACAGAAATTCTAGCAGTGAGCTGCCTGATTAACTGATCAATGAATGGGACCACATCACAGAAAGTTTCAAGGTAAGCCGATTCTTGGCACACATACAATAAACTGATGACTTTCCGTCTTCCTCCTAACAGTCTCAGAGCTAATATTTATCTTAGCCAAGTTTGTTAGTAAATACATCCCCAATGTGGTATTAAGCCTGTCAGTCCAGCTCTCATAAGCTCTGCTAAAAAAAAAAAAAAAAAAAAAAGAACAATCCCAGTTGTTTTTTACTTGTTTCCAAAAAACAAAATCAAGAATTATGAATAATCAAGGAAAAATGGGCAGGCTTCACATGGAACAAAAAAGTGTGGAGCTGTATAAATGGCCAGTGGGTTTAAATATGTTATTAGTAATTGTTAATAAACATTTATTGAATGCCTACCATATATTGCATTGGGAACAAAGAAACATATTTACCTATTTGTTCAGCAGATAAATAATGACACCCATTCATGTCCCAGGCTCTCTGCTATGGTCGACGCTGAGAGACAGGGCACAATTTCTTTCTTTGCAAGGACTTTAAGCTGATTGGAGCCTAGAATATAGAAAACATTCCAATTAACAGAGGAGAGAAATGAGCAATAAATGCTAGAGGGATTCTGGGGTGGGAGGCACCTCAAAGCTCAAAAACCCGAGGATAATTTTTTGTACAACATGAGACTAGAGCTCAGTGGGTGGGCAATCGACCTCACTCTACTCTGACTCGCTTCACCCACTCCCCACTTTACCATGAAAATGAAATATGCTCTTCCTGGAATTTTGCTTTCATCATGCAATGGATTTCAGGGCTCTTCTCTAATTGTCCCCAAATTCTCTGTCAGGGCAACCAGAGCCAAGCAGAACCATGTTGAAGGAAGAATGAGAAACTGACCAGTGAGTGCAAAATGAATGAGGAAGACTTTTGGGCGCATTCATCTGCTTACCCACTTGAACCCATGAGCTCTCTGATGAAAATGAAGGTGAACTGGCTCAAAACATGAATCTAAATTATTTGTAAGCCTCAATCCTGAGGGCTGGATGCCATTTATGCAACTTGGGATTGCAACAAAACTCGAATTACAAATTTCAAAACAATATAAAAATACCAATTGCAAAACATCAGGATAAAGGTTGAAAATCCCCCTGCAAACTTTCCAACAATAGCAAAGCAGAAATAAAAATAATTGAGAAAGAGACCCCCTAAAAATGGATGAAGTAACATCAAGTGGCAGAAAATTTTGAAATGAAAAGTTTAGCAGTAAAAGTAAAATCTGTGAGGACATCTAAACACCATTCCCACCCCTTCCCAATCTCTCTGAGAAAACCAGGAGAAAAAGATTTGGCATTCATCAACTTAAAGTCTAAGAAAGCAGTGCATGTGACTCACCAAGAGGTAGAAAAGCAGAGATATTTAGGAGTTCATGGGCCCAAATTTACTATGACAATTTTGAATGAAGAGCAGAGTTCACTCCAAAAATAAAAGGAAACAGCAAAACTGCACACTGCCGACTCAGTGATGCATTTTTAAAGTGCTAAAACTAGTGAAGGGAAAGTTTACAGCCTCAAAATCTTCTCCTTTATATTTGTTTATTTATTTACTTTTACTTCAAGACAGGATCTCACTCTGTCACCCAGGCTGGAGTGCAGTGGTGCGATCTCAGCTCCTGGGCTCAAGTGATCCTCCCACCTCAGCCTCTCGAGTAGCTGGGACTACAGATGTGCACGACCACAGCTGACTAATCTTTCTATTTTTGGTAGAGACAGGGTTTCACCATGTCACCCTGGCTGGTCTCGAACTTCTGGACTCAAACGATCCGCCTGCCTCAGCCTCCCAAAGTGCTGGGATTACAGGTGTGAGCCACTACGCCAGGCCAAAAATTTCTTTTTTAAACGGAGGCAAATATCAACTGAATTCAAAATGGCAATTTCAAACAAAAAATAAAAATAAAAAATATAATCCCCCGATCAAATGTAATTGATTAGGCAAAAGAAGATCGCTAAGGGGTAGGGCAGTCATGAAACCTATTAGCAGTGGGGAAATCTATTCCCATGGCAAACCCCTGGAGAGCAATAATATCTGGGGGGTAAAGAAGAGTGCAGAGCTTGAAGAGACAGAGAGAGATCTGTAATATATCTTCAGCCTTGAACCTGGGAGGCAGATGTTGCAGTGAACCGAGATCGTGACACTGCACTCCAGCCTGGGTGACAGAGACAGACTCCATCTAAAAAAAAACAAAACAAAAAACAAAAAAAACTGACTATGCTGGAGCCAGAGAGGTTCAAGGCAGTGAGAATAGAATCACATGGTCATCATCCATGGAGCTGTATAACAGAGCAACATAGCTACAGACACTGCACCTGAGCCCAGGAAGTATCATGCCAGAGGAACTCCAGAACTCCAGTTCTTATGGAGGAATCATTTTCTTAAGTTTATTAATTCTCCCTCTCCCTCTCTCTCTGCCTCTCATAGACACACATGCACACTCACATACACCCTGATCCCGTTTTCCCATTCCTCTGAGTAAATTCACTTTTCATTTCCATTCCCACATCTATGCCAAATGTGTTCTGATAATGACATTATACTCTAGTTAGTCATAATGTTCCTGCAAAATTAATTGATTAGTTCCTTAACAAACAGCTAGGTCCAGGGATTATGATGCATAGGACAGATCTGTTTTGATAAGGTGAGAAAAAGAGAAAAATAGGAAAATGTGCAGCTGTCAACACCTGTAATATCATTCCCTGCTTTTCCTAGCCCCTGTTCAGCTAATTCTCAAAGGCCTGATAGCTCTGGGTTTGATGCTGTTTGGGTCCTGAGCCAGCTCCAAAGAGGAGAAGCAGCTCATTAGGTGGCAGAGTAACCACTGGAGTCAGTCAGTCTACTGTAGACTATCCACCCAAACAAGTTTATCTTCCAAGATTTGATCCAGAATTGGAAAACAGTGATGTTTGTCTCTCTGAAATGTTATATTCCCACTTGTTCTGGGCCTACCCAAGAATGGAAATACAGAAAGCCTTCCCAGGCACAAAGATCCTTGCTCACACAATGGCTCAAAGCTTTCCCACATGAGGCTTTGAACCCATGTCTCTCTACCTTTCCTTCAGGGTATCTTCATATATCCTTTCCTACTCCACACGCACACCCTTCTCCTTGTAAGCCTCAATACTGAATAACCGTCTCTCAACTGCACATGTCCAGTTAGGCCTTTTCCTCCTTTTCCTCTGCCTCTGGCATGATATTTACTGGGCTCAGGTGCAGTGTCTGTAGCCATGTTGCTCTGCTATACAGCTCCATGGACGATGACCATGTGATTCTATTCTCACTGCCTTGAACCTCTCTGGCTCCAGCATAGTCAGTGTTTTGTTTTGTTTTGTTTTGTTTTGTTTTGTTTTGTTTCTTTGAGATGGAGTCTCTGTCACCCAGGCTGGAGTGCAGTGGTGCGATCTCGGCTCACTGCAACACCCGCCTCCCAGGTTCAAGTGATTCTCCTGCCTAAGCCTCCTGAGTATCTAGGACTACAGGCGCCCGCCAACACACCCGGCTAATTTTTGTATTTTTAGTAGAGACAGGGTTCCTTCATGTTGACCAGGATGGTCTCAATCTCCTGACCTCGTGATCTGCCCGCCTCAGCCTCCCAAAGTGCTGGGATTACAGGTATGAGCCACCACACCCAACCCATAGTCAGCTTTTGAACAATATTTTGCTTGTGCTGGTCCTTCTTTGGGGTTTGCCTCTAGACTCGTCAGTACTGGCCATAGGATTCACATGGACAAAATACGATCCTGTTTATCTGGCATTGGTAATACCAAATATGTCCTTACAGACTTGGAAATACCCTGGTCCTTGCCCCAAGAAGACCTAATCCTCGTACAGACACACCCTCCTTACTCTCTCCCTAAATGCCCCTCCCTCGTCTGCTTTACGAGGCCTCAAATCCCTTACTCAACACTACACTTCTCAATGAAAAGTGAGAGGAATGAATTCAAATATTCACAAGAATAGAAACCCATAGGCTGAAATTCACATGATGCCTCAGATCAGATTATCCTTTGAGAGCAGGTTGTAGAGAAAGTAAAGTGAGACAATGGAAGTCCTATGTGCTTAAAGAGTGGAATGGATAATTTGCATGGAATCAGAGTCACTCTTGCACTTGATCACAGACATCATCAGGGCAACAAGACCTACAGAAACAACCCCTATGCTGGCTTGGCCTCTTGTCTCAACTCTAAATTACTGTCACCTTGATAAGCCTCTGGGTCCCCATCTGTGAAATGAAGGCTTAGACAAGATGATCTCTAAGATCTTTTGCATTGTAAAAAGCCTGCAATTATGCTGATTTTTTTAGGGGAGGAGACAATATATTTGGATGGAGCCTTTGAAATCACTGTGGAGGGGAAAGGTACCATTTAGTACATAAAAGTACCCATTTATCTTATTTTATTTCTATTTATAAATGTATTTACTTTTGTTCTTTTATTAAAAGATACCCTATTAACATTTGCTGGAAGACACGAGAGTGGCTTTCAAATACCTGAAAGGCTCCCAAATGGATGCCCTCTTTCTCAAGATGAATTGTCCCGTATCACTCCATGAGACAAAACTAAAACTAATAGGTAGAAGACAGACTTAAGTTTAATATGGAAGAAATATTTTATTCATTTGGGGGATGGTCCAAATATAGAATCCATTGATTGATGGACTAATAGAATTACCAGGATCCATGTTTATCAGAAATATTTAAGCATGGGGTAGGCAAAGAGATCGTACTGATATGGTGGTCATGGGTGGTAGGGGCATAAATGGAGGTCTGGACTATATCTGTCAATCATGGGGATCTATGGTTTCATGAACATTTTACCCCCATAAACACATTGCTTTCCTCCAAGGAAATTCCTGAGAATGAGAGTGTTTGCCTCTGCAAGTATTATTTGATGACAGCTCTTGCACCAACTTTCTTGGATAGAGAATCCTTCCCAATGCTTCTCACTGCTGCCTACCTCAGCCAACAGCCTGTCCAACAGAAGGGCTTTTTAGCATTCAGATCAAAGCCTCCTGTGTGCAAAGTGCCCATTGTTCATTAGTGAAATGTGACTTGCACCTGCTTCGCGGAGGTGTACGGCTTTCACTGTGTCCCTCTCGGTTTCGGCAGGCTGTAGCAAAATCACAGGGCCAGTCACTTTGGTGACGAAGGAAGCCACGCTCTGCCAGTCAAAAGCTGGACCAGCTGTGCTGGTCCTGTGTGAACCAGGTGCCTACTGCTTCCCCAGGAACCTGCTGCCAAGTCTTGGCAGCGGGTGAACCAGCAGCTGCTCCTCCAGCTTCAGTCTTGTCTATTTCTCTCCTCCTTGGCCTGAGAATCCAAGCACAGTCCCCTGGGAGGTCTATTACAAAGAAGAGGAAAGAGAACTTTGAAAGAGGAAGATCCAAGGGCTATGATTAGATGGTTGACCAATGGCACAAAAAAGCAGAAAATGTAGTCGACATGAGAATAAGACAAATATCAACCAGTCTAAGGTTCCCATTTTGTGATCACATCATCCTCAAGATAGGAGAAATTCACAACAGAAAAACAGGGATCGCAGCAAGAAAAGAAATTGCTTGTTAATCATATCATTGATATTATTATTATTGAAGATCTAGACTCATAAATTTTAAATCCATGCCAACACTGATCCAAATAAAACCATCATGATGAAAACTACCAACCTCAGCTTAGAGGATCAGGCAGTGCCATTTGCCCTGCAAGATGCTTACTTTCAGGACTTCTCATGAATTCATACGGACAACTTCAGGAATAAGATTAGCGTTGGTTCCTATGTGTTTTCCTGGTTATAGATTCACTCCGTGTGATGACTCAAGAAACATTATCAGGCTATAACTAAATGTATGGATGTGGTTCTTAAATTGTATACTGTTTGTCTTTTTTCTAGAAAATATTTAAACACCACTAGGCTGCTCAATTGTCTATGCCCCTTAAGCCCCACTATCTCCTCATTGGATCTTAATGATGTTACTGAACTAGGTGGACCAGGAATGAACAACAAATTTGCCAAGTGAGTTACTTCCTCTCTCAAAAGGGCTCTTCCGTGCACATTGCCCTTGGAGAGGGGGTGAAGTGCTAGTTCCGGAGCAGTCAATCCCAAGTCAGGAGCAGGTGGGGGAGGGTGGAGGCGAGTGTAAAAGACACTGCTGTGTGGTGACTCATTCTTCCACTGACTTCATTTGCTTCTGTGTGTTCAGTCAGTTGGACAGCTGTGCTGGCCATGTGAAGTCAGAAAATTTTTTTGTTCCAATGACAGGAAGATGGGGGGAGATAAAGGGGGACAGATAAAACAGTGGGGGTGTGTGTGTGTGTGTAGAGCCGTAATTGCTACATGACTTCAGCTTCTCTGACTGGCTAACAGTCACCACATTAGTCACCAGCCCTCAAAGGGTGACACAAGCCTGGGTGGACTCAACATGAAGTGAGAGAGGCCTGGCATTTGCAGTCCAGGTTTGGGAAATGGCTCTCACTGTGTCCCAGGGAAGTGAGGGACAAATGTCTACAGTTAAAGAAAGTGATCTTTAAGCTGGAAAATGAGGAAAATCAGGCTATTTAAAAAATGCATAAAACAAGGACCTTGCTCTCAAAATGCCCACAGTTTAGGGGGAGGGACACCCCTGATTAGCCAGAAATATAAGCAATGCTCTGGGATTGCAGAGAGGGAGTAACTCTGGATCACTGGAGACTAGCAAACAATGTAAATGGAGTCCCAGCCCACCCATCCTTTCTAATGTCACTCGGCCGTTCCACCTTATCCTCTTCCTTATCTCTGATTGGCACTCACCCTCTCCCATTTTTTTGCAAAGACAAAGCCAAACCTCTGACACTCACTTCAAACCTTCAGCCCAGGTCTCAACCCTCTTATACAGGGGTCAACACACTTTGGCTTACAGGCTAAATTCAGCCCACCACCTGTTTTAAATAAAGTTTTATTAGAACACACCATTTGTTTAACGTATATGGCTGCTTTTATGCTATAACGAGAATAGTAAGTTGTGACAGAGACTCTAGGGCCCACAAAGCCTAAACTATTGGCTATCCAGCTTTTCAGAAAAATAGTTTGCTTACCCCTATTTTAGTGAATGGTAAAAAACAACATTTCTTACTTATGTGATGAGTTCCCTCAACATTTTGACCCAGCACCTATTAAAGTATATACCTGTTTCTGTAAACCAAGTAGATGAAGGTGCTTCCTCTCTCATTCAAGACCAATTCATCCATTCTGGCCCTTGGTGCCATTGCCTCTCCTTCTTTCCAGATGTTTTCTCTCATATCTTTAACCTAAAATCCGGGTTAATAACACTAAACACTCTCCTCTGGGATTCATCTTTACCCTGTTTTTACTATGTTCTCTCTGGATTAGAGCATCTCTTCTCTGACAGCATCATCAAATCAGTATCTCTGTGTTCTCCCCTACTGTCGTTTTTGACTTGCAGTTCCAATGATCTGCCAATCTCTGCACCTCGCTATCCTGTGGGAGCCACAAAAGTATCATGTCCAAAGCTAAACTCAACATGTTCCTCAGGAAAACTTCTCCCCCTTGGACCTCTCTGCCTCTGCTGCTGATAACACCAACCACCTAGAAATCTATTAGTCGGCTTTCCCTTCACATCATACATACAACAAGACAAAGATGCTTTTGAATCTACCCCACCCTCGGGGGTACATATCAGTACCATCAATTTCCCCGCCCTCCAGTAAATGTTCAATGCTCATTATCCCACCACCGGCCCTGGGCTGGCTCCCTCTTCTCTCACCTACACAACTGCAGTGGCCTCTTCTCCAGTGGACTGTCCTGCCTCCTGTCTCATTCTCCTCCAGTCCAGTCTCCCTACACTCACTTGAAGGCCACCATCCATGTAAATCAGACCATTCCTCATTCCTGTTTAAGATCCTTTACTTACTCTATATGCATGGCCTATAAAATAAGTTGTAAGTCCCTTAGCCAAAACTTCTCCATGGTGTGATCTTTAGCTCTCTTACCAGTCTTATCTCCTATATCCCTGCCCTAGGCCAGTAACCCAACCTAATCCCACCATGGTCCTTTTTTTTTTTTTTTTTTTTTTTTTTTTTGTGAGACAGAGTCTCACTCTGTCGCCCAAGCTGGAGTGCAGTGGCACTATCTGGACTCACTGCAACCTCCACCTCCTGGGTTCAAGCAAGTCTTGTGCCTCAGCCTCCCGAGTAGCTGGGATTACAGGTGAGTGCCACCATGCCCAGCTAATTTTTATATTTTTAGTAGAGACAGGGTTTCAGCATGTTGGCCAGCCTGGTCTTGAACTCCTGACTTCAGGTGATCCACCCGCCTTGGCCTCCCAAAGTGCTGGGATTACAGGTGTGAACCACCACATCCAGCCACCATGGTCCCTTTTTGAATCCACCAGTTCATAAAGACAAGACACAAATACCCATTGGGTTCTAGAGCTCTCTCTCTGGATGAACCCCAGCCCTCTTACCTGATCCATACCTGACTCTGCTCCAATCTCCTCTTCCCCTGGCTCTATGACTCCAACCTGATCCCACTTCAGGCCTTCTGAGTCTGGTGTCTAGAGTCTATCTTTCTGTTAAATCTAGACTTTCTTCTAACTGACTTTGACTTAGATTAATCCCCCAGTTCTTGGATTTTGTGTTTGCTTTGGGAATGAACATCCTACACTAATTCTTAGAAACCCTTACAATTCTATTCCACGTTGTAACTCAACCAACAGCCAAGGAAACCAGCCCCAGCACCCAGGAGTGAGGCCTTAAGACACCTCCAGTCCAAATACACACTCTCTCCATATCAAATTACCTGTATTTCCCTTACTTTCCCCATGGTCCCAGAGTCACTGGCAGTATGGCAGCTGCAGCATTTACTCCAAGATAACTTTGCCATGAACTATCTCACCTTTATTATTATTTTCACATCACTCTAGTATATTGACTTTGGCAACAAAAGACATCATTCTATTTACAGCATTCTGGTTTTAGTAGTAGTATTTCCATTACAAAATATAGTAATTTTCGATCGCTGAAAATGTCAACTCCTAGAAAACGTAACATTCCTACACGTGATGTTAACATCGTTCTCAAGCGGTCGTTGGCCGAATATTCATTTGATGAATCCGATTTTTCCGAAATAGACGATCCCAATGATTCAGACGATTCTGATGTTTGTTCTGTTTAGAAATAACTTTAAGAACAGTTTTTATATTTTATTTTTACATTGAAAATCAGTCAGATTTGCTTCAGCCTCAAAGAGTGTGTTTATGTAAAATTAAATGAGAGCTGGCAATGAGATGCACTATTTTTTTTCTAAGTGGAAGAAAGGGTTAATACCTCCATAGTATTTCATGCCCATGCTCTGTCTGAATTGATATTTTAACTCTTGTTCACCTGGCTAAATAATACTAGGTCTTCCATATTCATCTCAAGTGTCCCCTCACCCATATAACCTGTAGCTTTAGGAAGTGGGGAAGGCACTGAAGAGTTTCACTAATAAATCCAGTAGAAACTAGAGAACAGGCCAGGCCCAGTGGCTCATGCCTGTAATCCCAACAATTTGGGAGGCAGAGGTGGGTAGATCATTTGAGGTCAGGAGTTCAAGACCCGCCTGGCCAATATGGTGAAACCCTGTCTCTACTAAAAATACAAAAATTAGCCAGGCAGTAGTGGCATGCACCTGTAATCCCAGCTACTTGGGAGGCTGAGGCAGGAGAATAGCTTGAGCCTGGGAGGCAGAGGTTGTGGTAAGCTGAGATTGTGTCACTGCAGTCCGGTCTGGGTGAGAGAGTGAGACCAAGAAAAAGAAGAAAGAAAAAGAAAGAAAGAGAAAGAAAGAAAGAAAGAAAGAAAGAAAGAAAGAAAGAAAGAAAGAAAGAAAGAAAGAGAGAGAGAGAAGTGGGGGAGGGAGGGAGGGAGGAAGGAAGGAAGGAAACACCTTGAGGAGAGAAAAAGAGAATGAGAACAAAGAGAAAAATCATTACTATAGAATGAGGTATAAATTAGGTTAGGGCTTAAACTAAGATTTTCCCTGGCAATAGGATCCAAACCTTATAGTGATGGCATTACAACAAGAAAAAAATCCATGTAAATGAATACAGGATAGCTATAAGTTGCACATTTTCCAATTAGCTCTACCACAGGGGAAGATCTGGAAGGAAATTTGTGAGGTATTAGGAACACAGATGAAGAATGCAGAAACAAATTAAAAGAATAAGCCATCCATAAAGACTGTGTATTCAAGAGAGCTTTCAGATTCAGCTCGATGTTGTTTCTCTGGCTGACTTTGGTCTGGGCAGTGCTAAGTAAAAAGTCATGAAGCTCCATATCCTCACTATCTCATCTGGTTTTTTCAGTCATCATGGCTGTAAGAAAACCTCAAGTAACAGGAACCTGCACTGAGAAAAAATGGATGCTCAGGCTTAGGTTTCTGGCTCATAATAATCTAGGCAAACTGCTGCCCAGAGTGGCCCTCCCTCCCCTGACACCTGCTCTAAGTTGGGTTCAGGGATGGGAAAATGAGAAGAAAGAGATGAGTTAGAACCAAGAAGTCACATCTTCCCTAAACACTCTCCCTCAGAATGAGCTCACTGCCCCTTCTCAATGTTCCAAAAATATACTGTGATCACTCTGTGATAGCCTTTAGCACTTTTTCTTGGTAGTATCTGCTTATACACATATACACATCTCCTCCAAGTATGTTGTATTTTAGCAGTTTAGGAGCAGATAGGGTAGAATAGAGTGTGGTAATAAACTGAATTTCAGCAGCTTAGTGCAAGTTATTTTTCAATCATGCAAAATTGGATGCAAGTCGGTAGGAATTCCCTCCATCTGGCAATCCTAGGTCCAGGCTCCCTCCACACTGTGACACTGTCAGCTCAACACATCATTTCTGCAGTCACGGTGCCATGAGCGAGAGAGTGAGAAAGCAGCACCGTGGCTCTTAATACCTCTGCACAGGATTTGCATTCACATCATTGCATTCACATTTCATGCTAGAACTGGCTGCATGGCCTCATCTCCTGCAAGGGGCTGAGAGGCATAACCTTCCAGTGTGTTCAGGAAGGAGAGAAGAATTCAATATGGCTGAGCATAGGAAGTCTGCATCACTCCAGTCTCATTTGTCATTGTTACTCCAATACCTAAAAGAAAGGCAAGGATGTAGTAGCTACTGAATAAAAGTTTGTTGAACTGTGTTGACTCTGCCCAGCAAACTTAAGTGAAGTCTTCACAGAAAATGAGATCAGGAAGTGGAGAAAAGTCCTCTGTGAAATCTTAGCCCCAGGAAAGGAGCCTGAAATCAGAGAAAAACCAGGAGAGAGCATTGTTAAGGAATCCAAATGAATGAATTAAGAATAGTCAATAGCATTATGTGCCACAGAGGAGATAAATAAAAAGATGACTGAAAACAGGCCATCAGATTTCACAATTAGGTCATTAACGACTTTTCTCTGGTGCAGGCCAAATCTCATTATGGTGAGTTTTAAGAGGGTATCTAAATCATTTCAGTGAGTTGGAGTTTCATAATATGAATGTTGCTCAAAACAGATGGCTGTTTGAGATTTGTGGATGTTTAGTTACTCTGAGATTTTTTTTAACCCTAATAAAATTTCTCTCCATGAAAGAGTAATAATAGTAGTTATCATTCATCCCAGACTTCCTATGTGCCCAGTACTCTGCTAAGTGCTTTGCTCACATTATTGGTAATATTAAATAACACTTCTGCAGAGAAGGTATTGTCAAATTCTGGGCTCATGTTTAGTATATACTGCAGTGAAGATTGGGACCCCATTCTTCTTGGTTCCAAAGTGTATTCTCTTTCAACTATAGCACAGTCTTGTTCCTCAAAACATGCAGTGATTAAAGCTGTGGATAGTAGATCTGGGGCTCTTCTTAAAGAGTCAGATAACAAGATGTCAAGGTGAAAGGGCTGTCTCATGTTGAATCAGACCATCCTTTTCTCTTGAGCTGTGGAATCCTTTCATACCAAGCCATAGCTATTGTTATAGATGTTCTCAATTATCATTCTGAAATTTTCCTCATTAAAGACATAAATTACACAATGCATAGCCACACTTTCTTCAGTTCTTCCCCGTATGGCTTACTTTTCACCATCTCAGCCTTCCTTTTGCTTATGTAAGCAATAATTTGGTAGCTATAAATTATCTTTGATGTTGCCTAATCCTCAAGTGTTTTCTGTTTCACACAAAATTGTGAACAGTGTGCTTTATTGAATAATTACATTTTCAAAGTAAATTAACAACAAAATAAAATGTATATTACAAATTTTGTAAGAAAAACAGCGTCTAGTATATGTTGGCTTGATTGCAATTGGATTGAGAGAATATCTTTGGAAAATCTTCTTCGGGTCTGTGGGAAACTAGAAAAGAAGACTTGGAAATGCTTTGCCCACACCAGTAAGCAAACAATTCAATCTTAGTTCATCTAAAGGTCCCAGAGAAAATAATTCTTATTCTCACCCTTGGATAGTGTAGTCCTACAGTTGTGTGGTGCTTGATTGTTTAACCATCCTGAAATTACCAGGCAAATGGCCTTTTTTAATTCGTAGCTGCTACTGAATCCCTCCCTGGCTGGCTTATCTGGAACAATTCTTATATGAACACAGTGCTTCATATACTTTTTGTATATAAAGTCCATACATGACTTTTTGTTTTATTTAAAAATTCAGGCCAAGTGTGCTGGCTCGTGCCTGTAATCCCAGCACTTAGGGAGGCCGAGGTGGGCGGATCACTTGAGGTCAGGAGTTCGAGTCCAGCCTGGCCAACATGGCAAAACCCCCTCCTTTACTAAACATACAAAAATTAGCCGAGCAAGGTAGCATGTGCCTGTAGTCCCAGATACTTGGTAGGCTGAGGCATGAGAATCACTTGAACCTGGGAGGCAAATGTTGCAGTAAGCTGAGATTGCACTCTGCACTCCAGCCTGGGCAACAGAGTGAGACTCTTGTCAAAACAAACAAACAAACAAAAAAAACCAGACGAGGGATATTGAGACATATATATACCTTAATCCATCAAATGAATCAAGTGAGAAGCTTATGCAGCTTAACATTTATAATTTCATTGCAATTTTTATTCTAACCTTCACCAGGAATTTCAAGTTTATATATTACTTTCTCGGAGCCTGAAAATTAAATTATTATTAAAAGTAAGACTAATTTCATGTGGATCTTTAAAGACGAGTGTTAGAAAATAAATATTAAGCAGAATGAAATATTATAGTTGTGTTTCATTTATTAATTTACCAAATATTTATTGAATGAACACATGAAGTGACCAGAGTACTGAGTTGGGTGCCATGAAAAGATATCCCTTATCCTCAGTGCATTGTAATACAGTAGAAAAATGAAACTAAGTGAATGGATTTGCACTTAAAAATGGAAAGAAATATATCAACAGATGCAAAATAACATACAATTCTACTTCAAACTTCTGCACACTATTCAACATCCAATTTACAGGATAAATAAATTCAAATACCTCATAATAAATAGTATGCTATAACTAAGAGATTCATTGCAGATTTTCTTTAAGCAACAAAGTCTGCTTATACATATTTCTACTATAATTCTCTGGAAGCTTGATCTCTCACTCTCTTCCACACATTTTTTTTCTTTACATTGCTGACCCTTACCCCAGTCCTAGCCCCTTATTTTGGTGAACAGACTTAACCTTTACATCACAGAGAAAATAGAAACTGTCTTCCTTCATCTAATCAGCTTTTCCTACTTCCTTTTGTCCAATGAAGGAGGCATGTCATTGCCAATCAAGGTTTGGCCCTTTCAGATATATGCTGGGGCTTACTCCCTTCACTGCTTTCAGACTTTGCCCCTTGGATTTTCCCCTTCTTTGCTTTGGGACTTAAATCTACTGCCTTAATTCTCACTGCCAGTTTCACTGACATTTCCCCAGCCGTTGCTTGGTTGGCGGGAGTTCCTCCTCTAATCATTTCCTCAAAATGGGCTGACATGAATAATGTCTCCTGTGTTCTTGCACATTGAAATCTGTTTTTCTAGAATCTTTCAGATGTAAAAGATATTTTAACCACATATAAAATCTTTGGCTCATTCTTTAAAAAAAAAAATCTTCTAAGGGTAGATTCATATCTTTAAAGAAGTCCGACTCCTGCCCAACTTCATCCCATCATAAGTGACTTGATATTTTTACAGGCTCATTCAAAATATTCATTCTTTATTCTAATCATTTTAGGATTTGTCTTGACTTCTCTAGAGCAATTTTCTGGTCCATTATAAGCTCTTTAAATACGTAGATTCATGCCTTATTTTATATTTGAAAAGTTTTCTTGAATTGTATTTTTAAATATTGTATTTTTAAATATTTGTTCTGTTTTTTTGTTTCGGTTTTCTCTTGGTAGACTCTATGTGAATGTATTTGATCTCCTTTGCTCGTACTTTATTCCTATAATTTTGACTCTAATCCTCTTTATCTCTGTATTTCTCGTTCATTTCATGTCTACCTCCTTTGTCCCTCACTGTACTTTCAATGGTGTCTACTCTTCCTTGTGCTGAATCTAATTTATTAGTCTTTACTTCTGAAATAATTTTGATTTGTACTTTTATTTCTTTCATGGTTTCTACCAAATCCCATTTTACCTTCTCCTTTAATTTGTTCCTCATTTTCTGTTGTCCAGCCCTGAGTCCTCATATTTCTGCTTTGTATACTTTCATTAAAATAACTGTTATTGTATGGCAATTCCTCAAAGACCTAGAACCAAAAATACTATTTGACCCAGCAATCCCATTACTAGGTATATACCCAAAGGAATATAAATCATTTTATTATAAAGATACATGCACACATATGTTCACTGCCACACTAGTCACAATAGCAAAGACACGTAATCCACCCAAATGCTCATCAATGATAGACTGGATCAAGAAAATGTGGTACATATACACCATGGAATACTATACAGCCATAAAAAGGAATGAGATCATGTTCTTTGCAGGGACATGGATGAAGCTGAAAGCCATTATCGTCAGCAAACTAACACAGGGACAGAAAACCAAACACTGCATGTTCTCACTTATAAGTGGGAGCTGAACAATGAGAACACATGGACACAAGGAGAGGAACAACACACACTGGGGCCTGTCTGTGGGGCGGGTTGGGGAGAGAGCATCAGGATAAATAGTTAATGCATGTGGGGCTTAATACCTAGGTGATGGGTTGACAGGTGCAGAAAACCACTATGGCACACATTTACCTATGTAACAAACCTGCATGTCCTGCACAGGTATCCCGGAACTTAAAATTAAATTACATTTAATTTAATTTAAAAATAATAATAACAGTTATTACTCCATTAAGTTTTTTATTTTTAATTCATGGGATGTTAAGTTACAAGTTTTATCTGCATCTTGGCAATAGCTTTCTGGTGCATTTCGTTCTTCTATAGGAACGTTTTTCTATTGTTTTCCACAATTTAATAGATCTCTGTATAAATGCTATGCCAGCTCTTTTTTGTTTACTCATATTTGAATGAGTTTTATTTTCCTTAACCAGCTAGACAAAGAATTCTAGTGCACAGAAGGGAAGGACTGAGGACATCCAGTGTTCTAAGCTTCACAGATAATGGGCATCCTCCTCTGTTACAACAGACTATTTCCTTTAAAAATGATGCCTCTGTGCAACCACATTTTCTTTGCCTTTAATGCTCAAAAGAACAAAGCTGGAGGAATCACATTAGCTGACTTCAAATTATACTACACACCTATAGTCACCAAAACAGCATATACTGGCATAAAAACACAGAGACCAATGGAACAGAATAGAGAACCCAGAATCAAATCCACACACCTACAGTGAACTCATTTTGGACAAAGGTGCCAAGAACATATACACTGGGGAGAAAACAGTCTCTTCATGAAATGATGCTGGGAAAGCTGAATATCTACATGTAGAAGAATAAACACTAGACCCCTATCTCTCGCTGTGAACAAAAATCAAATCAAAGTGGATTAAGGACTTAAAACTAAGGCCTCAGACTATGAAACCACTACAAAAAAAATTTGAGGAAAATCTCCAGGACATTAGTTTGGTTGCACAGGCAACCAAAGCAAAAATGGTCAAATGGGATTACATCAAGTTAAAAAGCTTCTGCACAGCAAAGGAAACAATCAACAAAGTGAAAAGCCAACCCAAAGGATGGGAGAAAATATTTGCAAACTGCTCTATAGTTTAGAGCTCAAACAATTCTATAGGAAAAAAAATCTAATAATCCCATCCAAAAATAGGCAAAAGATTTGAATAGACATTCCTCAAAAGAAGACATACAAATGGCAAACAGGCATATGAAAAAGTGCTCAACATCATTGACCATCAGAGAAATGCAAAACAAAACTACAATGAGATGTCATCTCACCCCAGTTAAAATGGCTTATATCCAAAAGGCAGGCAATAACAAATGCTGGTGGAATGTGGAGAAAAGAAAACACTTGTACGCTGTTGATGGGAATATAAATTAGTCAAACCACTATGGAGAACAGTTTAGAGGTTCTTCAGAAAACCAAAAATTGAGCTACCATATAATCCAGCAATCCCACTGCTGAATATATACCCAAAAGAAAGGAAATCAGTATATCGAAGAGATATCTGCACTCCCATGTTTCTTGCAGTACTGTCCACAATAGCCAAGATTTGGAAGCAACGTGTGTTCATCAATGGATGAATGGATAAAGAAAATATGGTACATATACACAATGGAGTACTGTTTAGCCATGAAAAAGAATGAGATCCTGTCATTTGCCACAACATGGATGGAACTGGAGATCATTATGTTAAGTGAAATAAACCAGGCACAGAAAGACAAACATCGCATGTTCTCACTTATTTGTGGGCTCTAACAGTCAGAACAGTTGAACTCATGGACATAGAAAGTAGAAGGATGGTTACCAGAGGTTGGTAAGGGTAGTGGGTGGTTGAGAGGGAAGTAGATATGGTTAATGGGTACAAAAAAATAGGAAGAATGAATAAGACCTACTATTTTACAGCACAAAAGGGTAACTATAGTCAATAGTAACTACATTTTACTTATTTATTTTATTATTATTATACTTTAAGTTTTAGGGTACATGTGCACAATATGCAGGTTAGTTACATATGTATACATGTGCCATGTTGGTGTGCTGCACCCATTAACTCATCATTTAGCATTAGATATATCTCCTAATGCTATCCCTCCCCCCTCCCCCCACCCCACAACAGTCCCCAGAGTGTGATGTTCCCCTTCCAATAACTAAAAGAGTATAATTGGATTGTTCGTAACACAAAGCATAAATGCTTCAGTAGATGAATACCCCATTCTCCATGATGTGATTATTACACATTGCATGCCTGTATCAAAATATTTCATGTACCCCATAAATACATACTCCTACTATATACCCATAAGAATTAAAAATTGGAAATTTTTTAAAAGACAGAAAAAATTTTAAAAGGCTCAGAATGGCTTCTTCCCATGTGACATCACAGTATCTTTATAAGCCACTGCCACCTGGAACACATCTCTTACCTTCCACGGGAGTATCCTCACTTTTTGTTGATCTATTTTCACTTGTACTTTTTATACTCTGCCACCCGTGCGGTCCCAGGCCTTTGCCATCTCCCTTTGGTGGCCCACTCTGTTCCAGTTCATCTGGGGTGAGCTGCGTCCCAGTTTGCCCAGGTTTGGGGAGGTTCCTAGGACATAGGACTTTCAGTGCTAAAACCAGTAAAGTTCCAGGCAACTAGGAAGAGTTGGTCACTCTGATTTCATCTCTGTTCACGGGAGCTGCCACCCCAGATGGGGCCCTCTGCTCTGGAAGTGAACACTGCTGTGTTTTCTGAGACTCCCACCACAGCTGCTGCATCCTCACCTCCTTTCCATTGTCCATCACCATTTACCATGCAGCTTTTTGCCAGCCTCCATTGGCCTCAGGTGTTTGGGGCAGCATGTACACATAATTTGTAGTTCGAGAATATTCTGGGTCTCCTAGTTTCACTGAAAATGGAATTTGTAGATATTTAAAATTTGATTTATTGTTCTGTATAATTTCCAAGAGGAGAAGTGGCACAATTCAGACTAGGCCACTACCACGTTTCCTTGGAGCTCAAGAGATGTGTTCAGTTGTCTTCATGGAGTTCCAGTTTAAAGAGCTCCACTTCTGTTATAATTGACTTTCTTAACCAAGTAAACTCTGCAGTTATGATTATGGTGCTCAGAATAAGCAGACCATGTATGTAATACCCCATAGAGAATGATGAACCAACAAGATGTATTTCAGGCTGTGTATGTTGCACGATACAAAAGCACATGAAGATACACAAAAACACAAGAGCACATTATAAGCCTCAAGTACTATATCAATATAAAGTACTAATATTAATACTATAGGAATATTGATAACTAAAAAATCAGAATGAAAAATAAATAACAGCCTGTATATGGTGCAAATGGAATACAACACTAGGTTTAGAATAGTCCCCCTCTGAATACAAAATTTCTGTTTCTTGATTATAGCCAAATTCATGAAGATAAGTGTAAGAAATAGTCAGAGTAAATGCTCCTCTATGCAAGTCGTTGTGGGAGATGCTGTTGCATGGGTTATTTTATATGATCCTAACAACTCTTCAAGGTAAGTATAATGAGTGTCAAAAAAGTGAAAATACTCAAGATCATGCATCAAGTAAATGCCAGAAGTAGGATGCAAACCCTGAGCATCTCTGGGACCAACACCAATACTCTTCTTGCTACACCACTCCATCTCTTTTCAATCAAAGAAAGGAATTACAAGAAGCTCCATGCATGGAAGAGAAACCTTGAGGGAGATAATAACTTAAAACAGGCAGAGTGGAGCAGACAATCATTGAATTCGAACCAGCTGTGGCAAAAACTCAAGTGTAAATAGTATAACTGCAGCAGGAACACAGAGGGAGCAAGAAAGTCAGCAACTATATTTATTAAGATTTTTAATGCAATTGCTTCAAGAAGCTGGAGAGACATTTAAGACTCCAACAACCTCGTGCATCTGGTTTCCTCTCTCGACAGGAGCCCATTTTGACGAAGTGGGAACTAAATTCACAAATGTAAGAAACTAGAATGGTTTATCAAATTTCTTCCTGCTGTTATGAAAAACAATGTTGTGATAGGGAATGAGATTAAATCCTTCAAAAATCAAATTTAAGTTAAAAAACACAGAGAGAGAGAGAGTGGCAGGATAACTGGTCTGCCAGAGGGAACAGAAGTATCCGGTCTAACTCTTGGAAAATGGTTTGTAGAAAGAAAGTCTGTTTCTTCATGTCACTGAAAAACTACTAAAATCAGAGAAGCTTCAAGCATTTGAAAGCGTTAGCCCATAGCCCCTTCCCAAATTCCAGACACAAGGCATCCAAAGACTCAGGTCAGGATGGCATCGTCAGAATCATCTTCATCTCAGTCAACCCTCATAGAGACCCCAGTGTTCATGTTAGCTCTTAGCTTCTGCATAGTGCCCCCATAAATCGGAAGAGACTGAGGGTTGTAGCACTTCAGCTAACAGAAGGAAATTGCACCATTTAGGAAGCTAAGTGATATTTGAAGGGCATATGTAGCTATGATCAAAAATACCAGGTTTGGTGCAAAAGTAATTGCCAGTTTTGTCGTTACTTTTAATGGCAAAAATCACAATTACTTTTGCACCAACTTAATACCTCCCTGCAGTGCATAAATATTAATTTCACTAAGTTCTAACTATTCCAATAACTTATTCAGTAGGGAAATAAAACATTAACCCTTTATCTCCAGATACTTGTGCATTTGGATTCCATTAAACTTTCTCTTAACTGCATTAGCCCATATTGACTTCTTTTTTCTGTAAAAAATTACTTCTATGGGTGATGTAATTTGACCCACAACTGCTTTTTTGTGATTGTTTATGCAAGTAAACTCTGACTCAAAAGAATAAGTTCTTTAAGCATTGGAGCCAAACTGATAATCCAGAGCAAGTACTTAACATATATCAATTCATTGATCACAAGAAAAGGGAAATTTTAAGGGAGGGCTTGGAAGGGAAAGAGATAATTACATGCAAAGCATGGATCATGCTGGAGAAGAGAAAGACTTCATGAAGCATCCAAACACTGGAATTCGGGCAGCCAAAAGTTTACAAAGGAATCCTGAAAACCCGGGAGAAGGGAGGGCAGAGGTACTAGTAGATAGAGGAAGGTATGAGAAATATTGACTGGTGTGTTGAGATATTTGTATGCACTGAACTAAACATTGAATTAAAGGCTATCCTCTTCAATAGAACATGCAGCTTCAGGAGGTACACACATGAATAGCAAAGAAAGAGAGGCACATTCCCCTGTCCAGAAAGGTCATCCTCAGAGACCAATGTGGTGACGGTTGTCAAAGCCAACTTACTCTTTTATCCCAAAAAGGAGTATGAGACTATGTCAAGTACGAACACAATTCATCCAATAGAAATCAAGCCCTGGTTGTATCTTTAGGCCACAATGTGTTGCCTTTCCTTCACTCAGTTTACTCCATCTTCATCTTTCTTTTTGTCTCTAGCATTCAAATTTAAGGAAGAAAACTCATATTTACAAATGTTATAAGACCTCATATGATTGATGTGTGTGTGTGTGTGTGTGTGTGTGTGTGTGTGTCTGTGTCATTCTCCATTTCACAATTTTCTTAAGTACAGAGCATTAATATCGCTTTTGTTAAATGAGCAAAGATGCTAAGGAAATGACCAATCAGACCATATGGAAAAACAATTTTTGTCCTTAAAAAGCTTAATCATCACATGGACAAACTTTGAAGATGGATGCATTGTAAAACAAAATTCAGATGAAGCAGACTTTAATGTTTCTCTTTACTGATTTTGTTCTCTCTTAGCCACCTCTTGGCTTTTGAGGGGAATGAACACTGAATCCAAGATGAGACTTTTAAAATCTGAGTCGCCCTAAATTCTGTTTCGCAGCTTTATACTTGATACTAAGAAACTGAGTTACAATGCTGAGAGGTGGCAGAGCAAATGAGAAGCAAGGAATCAAAGGTAAATAAGAGGAAGGCCTTTTTTACTTTTATTCAATTTCATCAAAGCTGTAAATGTTCTAGTTTTTTAAACATATGTGCCTAACTGATTACACTGGAATTAAGGAGAGGAGGAGAACAAGGTCTGTCATAGTCTAAAACTCCAATCAGGGAAATAGGAATGTCCTCTCTATCCTCCAAAATGGCACCTATTTGTTTAATTTTCTTCTATTCATCTAACCAAGATAAAATGTATTGCACATCTGGCATCAAGTAATCTGAGTTATACACAATAAACAAGGCACCACCTTTGAACCCAAAGGAGCTTATAATCAGTTAAAGGAGAAACTCTAAAAATTATTATCATATAATTCAAGGTGGTAAATATAGGAAGATCAAGGCAGTACTGAATGTGATTGGAGAATTTATAGTCCAGAACTCCAGACTCAAATTTCAACATTTTTTTCACTATATTGGCTGTATTCACTGACTTCTTTGGTAACTGGCTTGCAGTTTTTCTCTTCATCCTAAATTCTGAGTGACTTTATTATCTTCATAGCCAGTCTCACTTCATGGCTTCAGAAACTTCCTCTTCCACTTCACTTTGGCTACCTCCTCTGTCTCAGTCCATTTTGGCTGCCATAACAAAATACTATAATCTGCATGGATTATAAATAAGAAAAAAATATTTCTCACAGTTTTGGAGGTTGGGAGTCTGGGATCAAATCACCAGCAGTTTTGATGTCTGGTGAGAGCCTGCTTTTGTTCACAATGTTCTCACTGTGTTCCTCACATGTCAGAAGAAGCAAAGGATTCTCCAGGGTATCTTTCTTTTTCTTTTTTTTTTCTTTTTTTTTTCTTTTTTTATTTTTCCTAGAGTCAGAGTTTCACTTTGTCACCCAGGCTGTACTGCAGTGGCACGGTCATAGGTCACTGAAGACTCAACCTCCCAGGCTCAGGTGACCCTCCCACCTTAGCCTCCTGAGTAGCTGGGACTACAGGCGCAATCCACTGCATCTGGCTAAGTGTGCGTGTATATGTATGTGTGTGTGTGTGTGTCTGTGTGTGTGTGTGTGTGTGTGTGTGTGTGTGTGTGTGTGGAGATGGGGTCTCACTATGTTGCCCAGGCTTGTCTCAAATTCCTGGTTTCAAGCAATTCTCCCACTTTGGCCTCCCAAAGTGCTGGAATGACAGGTGTCAGCCACTGCACCTAGCTTGGCATCTCTTATAAGGGCATTAATCCCACTCATGAGGGCTCCACCCTCATGACCTAATTACCTACCAAAAATTCCTCCACCTAATACCATCATATTGGGGGTTAAGATTTCAAAATATAAATTTTGGGGGAACACAAACATTCAGTCTATAGCACCCTCCCAAATTTTTTTAAGAGATGGGGTCTGGCTCTGTCACTCAGACTGGAGTACAGTGATGTGATCTGCAGCTGGACCTCCTGGGTTCAAGTGGTCCTCCCTCCTCAGCCCCAGAGTAGCTGGGATTACAGTCATGAGCCACTGCACCTAGCCACCCTCCCATACTTGACATCACTCAGAACTGTTGAACTGCACCATCTCTGAAGCTACTTATTAATATAAGCATAAGGCAGCTTTGGCCACAAACCACCACTGTTCCACCTATGCCCTAAGTTATTCTCAACACACATGTCATCAGTCCTATAGAAACCTCTGGAGCACTTCCCACTTTACTTTCTCTTTTCCACACCTTCTAGCCTTCATTTTCTTCCTTTCTTATCTACAATTCGGTGGTTAATAATATCAACCACTCTCTTGCTCATCTTCAGGAACTTTCTTGCTCCACTATCTTCTAGCTGCACCTGCCTAACAAAATCCCAAACCTATATGAATTCAATATCCTACATCTCAATGAATGTCTCACAAGTTGCTAAGTATTACCAGAGGAATTTGCCCAGCCAGGCTGACTGGAATCACCATAAATTTATGGTTAATAACTTCACCTGGCCCCTGAAATTTGCCCCAAAACATTATCATCCCTATCATCAAATTTTCCCATTCTCCACTTCAATTTCACAGATTCTCAAGTATTCCCAACATCCCACTACCATCAATCTTTCCTCTATCATCTAGCAGATGACCTCTTGGAGAAGTAGAAACTATCAGACAGTAACTCCTTCAGCTTCCCAAAAAAACATTTATACCTGCCTTTCATCCCTACCTACATCAACATTTCTTTCACTGGCATTCCAGATTCCATCCTCTGGTTTGGTCAAGGACTTCGTTGATTGAGTGTGTCTTCTTGTATGGTCAACTTCTTTTCTATTAGATTCAACCATGTTCAAATATCTCCAGATTTTCTCTCATGTACTTTCTCCCCATTCTAACTAAACACTATGGACACTGCAACCTAAGAGTCCATCAGCAGATGAGTGGATAAATAAAATGTGGCATATATACAATGGGGGTGGGCACAGTAGCTCATGCCAGTAATCCCAGCACTTTGTGAGGCTGAGGCAGGCGGATCACCTGAGGTCAGGAGTCTGAAACCAGCCTGGACAACATGGCGAAACGCCGTCTCCACTAAAAATATAAAAAATCAGCTGAGCGGGGTGGGAGACTGAGGCAGGAGAATCACTTGAACCTGGGAGGCTGAGGTTGCAACGAGCCCAGATTGCACCACTGCACTCTGGCCTGGGTGACAGAATGAGACTCCGTCTCAAAAAAAAAAAAAAAAAAAAAAAATATATGGTATATATACAATGATATCCTATTCAGCCTTTAAAAAGAAGGACATTCTATCATTTGCAATAACATGAATGAACCTGGAGGACATTACGTTAAGTGAAATAAGCCAGCACAGAAAGACAAATACTGCATGATCTTACTTGTATGTGGAATCTAAAAATGCTGACTCAGAGAAGTAGGGAGTAGAATGGTGGTTACCAGAGGCTGGAAGGAAAGGAGGAGGAGGAAGGTGAAAGTGAAATATTGGCTTTTTAAAAATTTAACATCATATCATAAGCTTTTCCAAATTATTCTCATTTCTATATCATTAGACATTTAGTTTACTTCCAACTTTTGCTATTATAAATAAGTGTCCTTATACATAAATCTTTCAGTATATTCTTATTTTCTTAGAATAAATGTCTAAATCAAAGGCTTTGAACAAATTTGGGACTCTAAATGTATTTGAACAAATTTTTCCCTCTAAAGTTTGCACCATTTTCTACTTTAACCTATATAATAAAAGTTTTCACTAAATTTTTGTGAAAACTTGGTTTTACAATTTTTTTAATGAATAAGATAGTTGAAATGATATGCAATTGTTTTAATTTGCTTTTTTGTATTATTGGTGAGGTTAAACATTTTTCATATGTATGAGAAATTATTGGTTATTATTTGAAAATAGATATTCATGTCCTTTGCCCATTTTTGCCATTAGCATGTTAAATTTTTTATTATTGATTCCTAAAGGCTCTTTATATCTTATGGCCATTAAACTTTGTTAATTGTCTCAAATATTGTGAATGTTTTTTCCAACTGTTCATTTTCTTTCCGTTTTAAGCCATTAAAGCATAGTAGATGCAATATTGCTTTGAGGCATCAGGTTAAGTTGAACATGACCACCAACCAGCTCTGCCTCTTTTTAACTATATGATCTTAACCATATTAAGATCATACAGTTATTACTTAACCTCACAAAGCTTCAGTTTCTCATCTGTAAAATGTGAAAAATAATGCTTACCATGTAGGATTAGTGCAGAGGCTAAGATAGATAATGGATATCTAGTCAGTTTAGGTTATTTGAGTTGGTTTAAGCAACATAAACTAACTCTGACTAATGGTAAGCAAAGCAATTAATGTAGTGGAAAGATACTGAGATATCTCACCAAATTATGGACGATGTGACCACTAGAACTTAGGAAGGGCAAAAAACATGGGCAGCTCCAAAGGTCAGCATAGAAGCTCTTCCATAAACCACCCACCCATGGCCCAGCCACCCATGACCCAGCACTGGTTGCTTTTTGTCCCTGATGTCAATATTCAAATTCCTGTTTGAAGAATCTGACTGGCCTAATCTAGATCACATGCCCACACCCCCTAAAATCAGGGAGTAGATTTTAATTACAGAAGGGGTATGTGAGGCACACAACCCTCCCAAATAACAAAAAAAAAAGGAAGAAAGAAGGGGCTGGAAGGAGCAAGGGAGTAGGGAATGAGGAAGGAAGGAAGATAGGGAGGGAGAGAAGAAGGAAGAAAGGAAGAGAGGCAGGGAGGGAGGGAAGGAAGGAAGGGAGGGAGGAATAAAAGGAATAAGGGAGGGAGGAAGAAAGGGAGGAAGGGAAGAAGGAAGAAAGGAAACAAGAAAGGAACAGAGGGAGGGAAGGAGGAAGAAAGAGAAATGAAAAACGGAGGGAAGGAAGGAAGAAGGAGGGAGGAAGGAAGGAAGGAAGGAAAGGGAAGGGAAGAAGGGAGAAAGGAGGAAAGAGAGGGAAGGAAGAAGGAAGGGAAGGAGGGAGAAAGGAAAGGGATGGAAGAAGGGAGGAAGGAAGGAAGGGAGGGAGGGAAGGAGGGAGGGAGGAAGGAAGAAAAGGAAGAAGGGAAGGAGGAAGAAAGGGAGGAAAGGAAGAAGGAAGAAAGGAAACAAGGAAGGGAGGGAGGAAGAAAGAGAAATGAAAAAAGGGAGGGAAGGAGGGAGGGAGGGAAGAAGAAGGAGGGAGGGAGGAAGAAAGGAAAGCAAGAAGGAAGGAAGGAAGGCAAGAAGGAAGGAAGGCAAGAAGGAAGGAAGGAAGGCAAGAAGGAAGGAAGGCAAGAAGGAAGGAAGGCAAGAAGGAAGGAAGGAGAAGGGGAAGGGAAGGGGGAAAGGAGGAAAGGGATAGAGGGAAGAAGGAAGGGAGGGAGGGAGGAAGGAAGGAAAAGGAAGAAGGGAAGGAGGAAGAAAGGGAGGAAGAGAAAAAGGAAGAAAGGAAAGAAGGAAGAAAGAGGGAGGGAGAGGAAGAAAGAAATGAAAAAAGGGAGGGAGGATGGAGGAAGAAAAGGAGGAAGGAAGAAAGGGAGAAAGGAAAGAAGGAAGGGAGAGAAGGAGGAAAAGAGAAAGGAAGAAAGGGAGGAAGGGAGGGAATGGGGAAGTGGGGAAAGCAGGAATCGGGGAGGGAAGAGAGAGAGGGAGGGAGAAAGGGAGGCAGGAAGCTACTCATGTAAAGGAATTGCTGAGTTCTGTATCTGTCCCTTTAGTAAGCTGGCAAAAATAGTAGCCATTCATAATACTACGCAACATTTTTCTCTGGATTTCATAACACATTTAGAAAGAAGAGATTCCATTGAAGTCAGAATCTTAAATAAATTTCTCATAGTAAGTTCTCTTTTGCTTTCATTGAACTCATTCCCAGGAGAGCCCTCCCTTGAATCAGGCTGATGATTTTCTCAGCATTCTAAGGGTTTAGCCTTGGTAGTAACTGTAAAGAAGCAGCAGGCCTCTTCAGCTGACCCTGTGCATTAGCCTACACTACGCATGCTCAAGTGTATTCTAGAACAGAGCAGAACGCTGAATCGGTCAAGTGTTAGAAACCAACCTTTCAAAACATCTGACATTTCAAAGCTGAAATAGAAATTCTGGAAGAGCAAATTTTCAAATTTGTAGACTTCTAATCATTTATATAATATGAAAATAATGGAAAATCCTCCAAAGGTATTGATCCTTGGAAAGGACTTATGCCTTCCAAGCCACAGCTTTTAAAACCCTAATTCCTGTCTTTAAAATAATTTAATGGTATCTATCTCTCATGATTACTGTGAAGAATAAGATAAAACAAAAATTTTAAAAATAAGTAAAAAATTAAATTAAATTAAATTAAGGTTAAAACTGTAAACACTTTATAATGAAATTCCACATTCCCCTATCTCTTTTCCCTAGGCCAGTTGACAGCACTATAAAAACTTCCTTTGAATGATTTTATACATATAATTATACATATATAAACATATACTTAAATAAATTTATAATATATAAGTATAGATGTCTTTATTAATACACTTATCTTTATAGAAACATTCTTTTGTGTTTTTTTTTTGAGACGGAGTCTTGCTCTGCCACCCAGGCTGGAGTGCAGTGATGTGATCTCAGCTCACTGCAAGCTCTGCCTCACGGTTCAAGCGATTCTGCTGCCTCAGCCTCCCGAGTAGCTGGGACTACAGGTGCCCGCCACCACGCATGGCTAATTTTTTGTATTTTTAGTAGAGACGGGGTTTCACCATTTTAGCCAGGATGGTCTCGATCTCCTGACCTTGTGATCTGCCCGCCTCAGCCTCCCAATATAGAAACATTCTTATATGTTGATATATATTTTATACATATATATAAAATCAGTCAAAGAAAGTGTATTTTATATAGAGAGATGTGTATATATGTAGAAAGTTTTTATATATGTATATAATAAGTCTCAAGACTCTGCTTCACCTTGGTGTTTTTTTTAAAAAAGTCTGTGTTAGTTACAAATGAGAAACAACAACCCTTGTCCCCTGTAGTTGCAGGATAATTAATCCTAACATGGTACTTCACTTTCCCTGACAATCTCAGCATATCTTCAAGAAAAGCAAGTTCACTTTACACTGAGATGACCAAATATCCCAATTTGTCTGGAACTGAGGGGGTTCCTGAGAAGTAGGACTTTTCATGCTAAAACTGGAAAAGTTCTGGATAAATTAGGACAGTTGTTTACGCTGTGTTTGTCATTTAAATCCCTTGAAAAAGAAGTGAATGAAAGCTCATTGCCACAAAGTCTTAATTCAAGTATGTGTATGTTTAAGATAAAAATGAAGCTTAGCTTCCACGGGGCAATTAATTCTCAGGTTAAAGAGTCCCAAAAACTGTGTGTTCCATTGCTGCCTGGAAATAGGCTGATAAATCAATTCACAAATTCAATTCAATTTAACATATATGTATTGAGCATCTTCTTTGAGTAAAATACGTTGAGGATCACAGGGATCTTTAAGTGCAATGAAATATTCTCGCATTTCCTAATAGACTAGGGAACATGATCTGAGTTATAGTATTCTGTGTTATATAAGCATACAAATATATTAAATAACTATACCATATTATATTGTGATAGAATATAAAACAAACTGTGCTAAATACTATCATATTTTCTGAATCAAAAATCAGGATGCAAATCAGGTGAATTTTACTTTTCCTCTTGACATACCTATTTATTAATAATTAATTTTAGATAGTATTTGTAACAAATTGCCACTATAAAAAAATTTTAACTAAAATTGGGGCTGTGGTAGAAAATCCAGAATGAATAAGGAGTATAATAATAAAGACCATAATAAAAATACAGTCATGGACCATGTAATGATGTTTGTCAATAACGAACCATGTATACATAAGTGGTCCCATAAGATTATAATACTGTATTTTTACTATACCTTTTCTGTGTTTAGGTATGTTTGATGCGCAAATACCATTGTGTTCCCATTGCCTACAGTATTCAGTACAGTAACCTGCTGTACAGGTTTGCAGCCTGGGGGCAAAAGGCTGTATCATGTAGCCTAGTTGTATAGTGACTATATTATCCAGGTCTGCATAAGTACACTCTATGATGTTTGCACAATGATAAAATAATCTAAAGATGTATTTCTCAGGACACACCCCCGTCATTAAGCAACACATGGAGGTTTTTAAAAGGAGGTCTATAGGATGCACTTAAACAGCCTGCCGGGACCGCAATAGAATGCTATTCCTCACAGCAATCTTCCAAGTTCCATTTTACAGATGATGAAAGTAAAGCTCAGAAAGTTTCAGTAAGGGGCCAGAAGCAGTGGCTCACATCTATAATCCCAGCACTTTGGGAGGCGGAAAAGGGTCGATAACCTGAGAAGTTTGAGACCAGCCTGGACAACATGATGAAACCCCATCTTTACTAAAAGTACAAAAATTAGCTGGGAGTGGTGGTGCATGCCTGTAATCCCAGCTACTTGGGAGGCTGAAGCAGGAGAATCGCTTGAACCTGGCAGATGGAGGTTGCAGTGAGCCAAGATTGTGCCACTGTACTCCAATCTGGGTGACAAGAATTAAAAACTCCAATCTGGGTGACAAGAATTAAAAACTCCATCTCAAAAAAAAAAAAAAAGAAGGAAAGAAAGAAAGTTTCAGTAAGGGGCAGTGTCACAATTCAAGCTTATCACTGACTCCAAAGCTCACTCTCTTTTTAGACATTACCTTCCAGGAAGATAAGGTGTTCCACAAAGAAATCATTACAGAACTAGACAACAGAGTCATAAATTGCTCAAGAATGTGATTTATTCAATCAGCACTCTGAAAGAACATGAAGAAACCAATGAGTTATTTATGTATCTAACCTCAGCACCTGGCTTAGTTCACCAGAGATGTTCAATATGGGCATATGGAATAAATTATATCTGCAGTTTTAGGGGACAACTGCTTCAAACACTTCTATAAAAATGGTTTGAGAAAAACTATCAAATTTCAAGTTGGTAAAATTTCATTCCCTGCCTTTCTCACCCAGCATTTCAGGTTGTTATTTTTGTTGTTAAAAAAAAAAAAGAAAAGGAGGAAAGAGAAAGAGGAAAAAAGAGGAAGAAAAGAACAAAGAAGAAGAGGAGGAGGAAGAAAAAGAGGAAGAGGGGAAGTAGAAGAAAGAAGAAAAGACCTATCAATCTCTACCAATCTATTCCAGATAGTTTTCATGACTGATGTCATTTGAGTTTTGATTTTTCTTTCTGATGGATCCCTGTATTTGAAGTCAACTTTTCAGAGAACCTGACATTTCAAAGACAAATGGAAACTCCAGAATGCCAAGTTTTAAAATTTCGTAGATATCTACTTTTTTGTATGATATAACCATGTTGAAAAATTCTCCATGATACTGATCCTTAAGTACACCCAGTTTGGATAGTCATAGCTCTAAAACACATTTCGTCAGATTCTCTGTATAGGAGCCAAAGTCTGTGTTACACACATTAAATTTTTTTCTAAGTATTCGCAGATTTTTTTTTCAACTAAGGTGAGAAAATAGAGTCAATGAGATTCTTACAGGGAACATCAAGAGGTCTTCAGAATGCACATAGCAACTCTCCTCCCTTTCCAAGGCACACACCACACCACCCAGCTAGATTCTGAATGAGGCAGTGTTCCAATGGGATTGGCATCAACCCCGCCCATCCCTGGAGGAGTCTAGTTATTAGATTATTTTTTAAAGATTCATCTTTCCCAAGTCTTTGGAGGCAGTACAGCTGGGAGTCATTAGCTGTAATCAGGGGGCAGCCAACAAAAGGAGGAAGCAGTGGGTGAATGCTGCCTCTTTCTGCAGCAGCCATCTGGGCAGAGGGAATGTGGTTTTAAACCCTAGCGGGTGGGGGAAGTTATTGGGATCCTGTTATATTTGGACTTGACTTCAGACCCTAAACAGAGATCTTTTTTTTTTTCTTCTGAAGTTTGCTTTCTGGAAATAGAAGGAAAAGATAGCAGGAGTAAGCCAGTGGACATCTCACAGAACATTATGGTCAAAGCAGACAGACAGTCTGAATGCAACAGCCCAACAGACACTAGCTGATTGGGGGCCTTGTCTATTCCTAGCTTAGAGTTTTGGAAAGAAAAGAAGAGCACATTACATTGTGAGATATCTCTTTTTCTTTCCCCTTCCTCCGCCTTTGCCAAAGATAAGGACATCTCTTCCATTTCAGAAAAGAAGACTCTGTCTTTTAAGTTGTCCATATAGAAACCACTTTGATTTGTTTCAAAATAGGGGAATTACCACACGTTTCATTTCACTCCTTCTGTCTTCTCTGAGGATATTGGAAATATGATGTAATAAATAAAAAGCAAGAACACACTAAATAAAAAGCCAGAAATCTGGGTTTACTGACTATGTACCCCTAACAAATTAGGTCAGCTCTGGGCCTCAGCTTCCTTGTCTGTAAAATAAGGATAATAATAGATATCTCAGAAGGTCACTAGAAGAATTCTGAATGATGCGTGTCAAACATCAAGCATACTCCCTGGAACATAGCAGCCATCCAACAATCGGTAGCTATTCTTATTTGTTACTATTTATATCAAACTTTTAATAAAAGTAGCAAAATACATCAAATCATTTCATAGGATTTTTTGGAGGGAAACTTGCCAAGTTAGTTTTTTTGTTTGTTTTTGTTTATTGATTTTGAGACAGGGTCTTTCTCTGTCACCCTGGCTGGAGTGTAATGGTGCAATCTTGGCCCACTGCAGCCTCAACCACCTAGGCTCAAGCAATCCTCCCAGCTTAGCTTCCAGGGTAGCTGGGACCATGGCACGCACCACCATGCCTGGCTAATTTATATTTTGTAGAGACAAGGTCTACCTATGTTGCCCAGGCTGGTCCCAAATTCCTAGACTCAAGCAATCCTCCTGCCTCAGCCCCCCAAGTCAATTAAACATAGTTCATACTTCCAAAGCAGTAGTATCTAAGTTGGATATCTATGGAACAAACACCATCTATATATGTGTGTGTGTTGAGACTCACAGGGTTTAAAATATTTTTAAAATTATTTTGTCGAGGTACAGTGGCTCACGTCTGTAATCCCAATACTTTGGGAGGCTGAGGTGGGAGGATCACTTGAGGCCAGGAGTTTGATACCACCCTGGGCAACATAGCAAGACCTCATCTTTGCAAAAGGTAGAAAAATTAGTCATATGTGGTGATGCATGCCTGTGGTCCTAGCTGCTCAGGAGGTTGAGGCAGGAGGGTCGCTTGAGCCCAGGAGATCCAGGCTACAATGAGCTATAATCATGCCACTGCACTCCAGCCTGCGCAACACAGCACAACCCTGACTTTAAAATAAAAAATTAAACAAAAATTAAAATTATTTTGATATCTTAAAATGCAAATTTCATATTAAGATATATATAGTTCCAGCTTTCCTGAAGCACTAAAAATTTGGCAACCTTGGGCCAGCATTCCTTAGTGTCAACAGTGAGGTAGTGCTGAACAGGGACTGTCCCTTTTGGACAGAACCTGTGCTCTTCAGTTGGCCGTAGTCCCCTGCCCTCTTGTTGCAGGAGCCTGACCCTGCTTCACTATCTTATCCTGCCTGGCTCTTTCAGGCATTTGAATCTGTAATACCTTTACTTGCCCCTTGCCTCCAAATACAGATGTGTGAGAATAAGAGAAACATAAAGGTGCTGCATGAAGGGTGCTGTGTTTATAGTTATAGGGCAGGATGTGAAAAGAAAATCATAAGGCATTTCGATTAGAGGATTAGTCAACAACAGGCACAAAACCCAGAGCCTCCTCCAGGATCTTGGGCTTGTCCTTTAACTTCAACAAGTCTCAAGTTTCTGACATGTAAAAGGCAGCAGATATTTACTCTGCCATTTCACAAGTTACGTATGTGGATCAAACAATGCAATGTATGTGAGTAAATCAGAAAATGCTATGTGTAAGATAGATTATCAAACAGAATAAACACAGTATCTAAAGGAAGAAAATCACTTAATAGCCCATCTCTAATATTATATCTTCCTTGGAAATCACACAACTAAAAGGGATCTTTAAATGTAATCTAGCCCTCAGTTTTACAAATGAACAATCTGAAACCCAAAAAGCAGTTCTCAAGAAGCTTGCAATATGGTGAAGACAAAATATATGAAAAGGATGCTGACCAAGGGATGCCTAAAACCACGTGAGCCTCTATTAAATCTAAGGGTGGAAATAGCAAGTCACCTGGGGCAGCTTTTTGTTTTCTGTTTGTTCATTTTTAGAAAAAGTAATTTAAACTGCTTCTGCCTTGAATTTTAAAATGTTGGGGTGATGGGCACCCCCTTCTCTGGAAAGAGCATGTAACAAGACCTATGTACTGGAGGTAGACACAAAAGATGTCTCTCCCCATGTTGCTCAGCTCTGTGGATGGGGTGAGAAAATCTGCAGAAAGAAATCTGAAGTCTTCTGAGGATTTTTTGGGAACCTCAACCTGAGCTCCCTGAGATTCACAATGGAACATCTGTGAAGAACAACTAGAGTAGCCATTCCCAAGGTCCATTGACAAGAAAGGGGAGTCCCAGAGAGAAGATTTCCTGGAAAGAAAGGGCATGAAGCCCCTTTCTGGTGAGTATGGAGTGAGGCTGGAGACCCTTCTGTGTCATTTCAGACCTTCCTAAAAATAGATACCAAGGCAGGATTAGAGATGGAAGAGATTTGTCAGAAGAAATGTTCCTATAGAATAAAAAGTGGATGGGGGAAAAAAGAAGATGTGAGGCCAGGTGCGGTGGCTCACTCCTGTAATCCCAGAACTTTGGGAGGCTGAGGCGGGCAGATCACGAGGCCAGGAGTTCGAGACCAGCCTGACCAACATGGTGAAACCCCGTCTGTATTAGAAATACAAAAACTAGCCAGGTGTGGTGGTGCATGCCTGTAATGTCAGCTACTCAGGAAGCTGAGGCAGAAGAATCGCTTGAACCTGGGAGGTGGAGGTTACAGTGAGCCAAGATTGTGCCACTGCAATCAGGCTGGGAGACAGAGCAAGACTCCGTCTCAAAAAAAAAAAAATGATGATGATGATGATGATGTGGAGAGCCTTCAGACCATGCTGCAGGACAGACACTGTGAAAGGAGAAGGGGAAGCAAGGTGGGTCAGGTGGGAAGAGCCCCAGAGCACAGAGAAGCTCTGAGGAAGTCTCTACCAGGCTCATGGGAAATGTCTGAGTCGAAGTTGCCTGCTAGAAGCACCTGTATTAGGCAGAAATGTCCTGATTCTGGTTACTGCCTCCTACTCCCACCTCCACCCCATCTAAAGGTGAGATAGTAGAGGCCCTCAGTCAGCTCTGCTGTCTGCAGCATGTTCTCCTGGAAGGAGATCTGAGCTGTCACCTCCATGGCTGCCAGAGACACTGGCAGAATGCCATGCTGCCATACTGGGGGACCCACGGCTTCCACCTATATAGGCATCAGGGCCTGCAAGAGGATTATTTATTTTCTGTTGTTTGTTTGAGACAGTCTTGCTCCGTCACCCAGGCTGGAGTGCAATGGCATGATCTGGGCTCACTACACCTTCCACCTCCTGGTTCAAGTGATTCTCCTGCCTCAGCCTCCCAAGAATCTGGGATTACAGGCACATGCCACCATGCCCAGCTAAGTTTTGCATTTTTAGTAGAGATGGTGTTTCACCATGTTGGTCAGGCTGGTCTCAAACTCCTCAAGTGATCCTATTGCCTCAGCATTTCAAAGTGCTGGGATTACAGGCATCAGCCACTGCACCCAGACAAGAGGATTATTTCTGAATGCAGAAGTATCTACCAAGCCGGGAGAAACCAATGTTCAACAGTGGACTCAATGGAATTCTAGTCCTCTCTCTCTCTGCCTTTCTTTTAAAAACAAGACTTGCCTTTGGGGGCTGAGTAAAACCTTAGTTCTTAAACAATTGGAGAAGGTGGGTATTGGGGAATTCTGAGAGGGAGGGAACAGACTTCCTGTTAATCATGGTAGGCATGGTAGAGGAGTGGGTAGAGAGTAAGTTAAGAAATTAATTAGAAAAATATTGTGTGGTGTTACTATATTTGTACCCTGGCTGGTGAAGTGGATTATACTGATTAAACATAGATATGGGAGGCATTAAATAATAAAGGAAGGTTTTGATAGGGAGTCAGTTCAAAAACAGAGATCTCTAACAGCAGATACCATAATTTACACTTCTGTAGCCCTTTCCAGATTACAAAGACTTTTACATATACATGACATTTATTAATCCTCAAGACAACCAAGAAGAGTAGACAGAGTAGTTTGTCTCCATTTTAGCAATAAAAAAAAGAGAATCAATGAAGATTAGTAAACTTACCTGAACTCTTTATACGTGTAAGAAGCAGAGTTTTTACTGGAATTCTCCCCCACCCCACCTGCCCAGCCAAGGCCTCCTTTCTATTGAACTCCCTAGGTGACTCTCTAGATTTCCAAATCAATGTGCTTGACAATAAACTCCTAGGATATTAAAGAAGGCAAAAATCTCATCAGACTTGGGCTGGTCAGGGGAGGCATCCAGAGCAGGAGAATGGGATCTGCCCCTTGAGAGGTGTTAGGATTCAGAGAGACAGAGAGGAGTGAAAAGAGTGGGTTCCAGATGGGTAAAATGTAGGACATCAGGAGAGGACAAATAAAACAACTTGACTGGCACAGGGGAATAGCAGAAAACTGGGAACAGTACACTGGGACCAGGTAGGGAATTTTATCCAGAAAAAAAAAAAAACAGAAAGCATTTTCCTTTTGAAAGAGGGGTGATATTCTCAAGCCATTGGGAAGAGCACTGTGACCAAAGACCTGTATCTGATGGTTCAAAGGGAGAAAGATGGACCTAAAGGTTATGGATGCAGTTTAGGCAAGCTAACAAAAAGACTAGGAAATGAATACATTAAGACCTAATACAGAAGAGTCGGGTGCCAGGGAAGTAGAAAATGAGCAAATTCCCTATCACAGAAATCTCACAAATGGTTTCCAGAACGGGGGGCTCCAGAGACAGGACCAAAATACAGATAAGAAACCACTTTAAACAGCTTTTATCTTAAAGATTTTATATTTGGACCAATCTTGAAGCAAATAAGGTTAAGAAATGTTTATGTTAGAAGATTTGCATGTAGAATACTGTTTTCCTCTTCTTGGTTTCAGGGCAGCCAGACAGAAGTAATTAAGTATAATTAAATATAAAAAGTATCAATTAGCACTGATTCTCCCATCTACAGAGAGAAATGACCAGTTGGGAATGAGTGATCTAATCTTCTCTCAGGCCTCAGAAGGAATCGGAAACCCAGACATCAACCTAATCATGTGGGAAGACATAATAAAGTACTCTATATACAAGCGGGCTCTTTTTTTCCCAAAGTAGCCCTTGTTCAGCATATCATTATAATCACTAAAACAGTAATATTTAATTTTGTGTTAACTTCTACTCACACAAATTTGACAGCCTTGGGTGAAATGGAATCTCAGTCTTAGATGATATTTCACCCTTACCTATTATTGGATATTTAAAACCTTTACATCTAAGAATAACAAGTATGGCAATATGGCAGACTGAACACACATAACATCAATTATCACTTTGATTAGTTTTTACCAAGTAGATTCAAACCAATCACTTTTCTCTTCTCAGAATGACTTCAGATACAATACTGAATGGGATATTACTAGGTTATAACTTTCTGTTCCTCCTGCAGTCATCTTCAATGGTTCCCACTGAACCAATACCTTTGTCATTCTGCCTTTCCATTTCTCTCTGTTCCTTGTTCAAATGAGATTATATTTCTGCACCACCAGGATCAGTCTTCTTGCATAGTTTTCCACAAGGCATTGGTTTCATGGCACTTTCTAATTGGCATAGCTTCCTTCCACTTTCCCCATCCTAAATATCTACCATCCAAGCATAGACATACACAGCCTCGTGAGAATATTCTAAATATAGGGCAGGTGCTTTACCAAAGAGTTATGTTAAATTCAACACTTATAGCGATGAACTCAGTAGTTTGTATAAGCTCACAAATCCGCCTCAATTAAGCACACCCAAATTCTACCCACCCACACCCCAGTCCTGAGCACATCTGACTTTACTCAGAAGCCCAGATACCCTCAGTCTGAATGACCCCCCATTCTTCTGTGATGAACCCTCTTTTTAATATCTAGATAAAGCTCCCAGGCCACACATGGCAAGAGGCCTAGCACCTTCCTCAGGTTTGCCTCTGCCTCCCCTGAATCAGTCCACTCCACCTGCATCTCTGCCATTGCCAGCCCCTCTATCCCTAGTTTCTGTGACAGACATCCTCTTGCCACTCACTTCCCTACCACTTGATAGCATGGTTTTTCTGCAATTCCTAAAGCATCTCTAACACAAGATTGCTATGTATCACATTTTGCTGACATCTTGAGGGTAATAGAGAGTATTTAGAGCACAGAGCAGGAAACTACTTCCTTCCAATACCAGTTAAAGGTAGACATGTATTGGCCATTCTTGACTACAAGAAATCTCTCAGGACCATATTTCTCCATCGATCACACACAGCCTCCCTCCATGTTCTTAGGACCTCTCACTCTTACTCCATCCTCCTCACACCTCCCTTCCCTTTCCATTCACAGACCTTAGCCCCCTCTATCTATTTTACTCTATTATGAGAGCAGTAACACATTATATCTGTCTCATCCTGACTCATCCTCAATATGCCTAGGAAGTTTTGTTTTTCTCAATCAAAAGTCCCATCAGGGCTATTTGAAAGCAATAGAGTCACTACCTTGGAAATAATATATTATGCCATTCTCCTAGAAGGTAGAAACAGTAACACATTTTTTTGTTAGCAACTTTTTTCTGTTTCATTTGCAACGGCTGCATATGTGGAATGTCTTTTTACTAGGGTGCATTTTCCTGAAATTCACACTGCAGTGTCCCGGGAGTGCTCCACTGTCCTGAAAGATGTGGGACTCAGCAGCAGTCAGAGACTATGCTTGCTTCCTGCTGACTTCACTCTGAACCTGTCCCCAAGTCCCCCAACTGATTTATCCAAGGCAAGGGAAATGTATTTTATTTTCTTGCCAGAGTACTCTCCCAGAGTTGCCCTATTCTAACCCTTTACCATGCAGTAGAGCATCCTTCCCACCTCCATGGTGGCCTTGCTCTCCAGACAGTCCATGTTCACCTTCCCGTCAATTCTTCCACCGTGCCAGGACCATGCTCCCTCTAAAGGCTCTAGAGGAGAATCCATTCCTTGCCTCTTCCACCTTCTGGTGGTTCCAGGAGCTCCTTGGTTTGTAGCTGCACAATTTCTATCTCTACCTCTATCTTCACAGACTCTTCTCTCTGTCTCAAACCTCCCTCTGCCTTTTCTTTTATAAAGATGTCTATCCTTAGATTTAGTGTCCATCTAGATAAACTCTTTCTTACACTAGAAGATTGGCATGTAGAACACTGTTTTCCTCTTCTTGATTTCAAGATCAAGATGGTCTCATCTCAGATCCTTAACTTAAATACATCTGCAAAGACCCTATTTTCAAATAAGGTTGCATTCACAGGTTCTGGTTAGACATATAATTTGGGGTAGAGGGAGACCACCGTTCAACCCACTACAAGCCCCACACTTCTAAGAGCCCTGGCTTGACTCTTGGTTGTAGAGGAAATCTTTCCTGCAACCTCCACAGTACCCTCTAGGTTCAGGAAAGAGATTCACTGGATTTGCCCATTATATACTGCATGAGGCAGACAGACATTGTCTCTCCATAACTGCTGCCAGAGATGTAGTTTCACATGCTAAGATTCTCCAGTAGTGTAAGGTAGAGAATATAACTCAATCTCACTTGACTTTTCCATCTCAGCAGAATGAAAATTTTAACTCTCTCTTCTCTCACTTTCCCTGGAATTTTGTATACAATACTGCACAACAGCATTGTCCAAACGACGATCTGCAGAACAAGAGATATTTCTGGGTGTCCCACAATTACATTCTCTGAGAGAGTGAACACACATACAAGCTTACTAGCGGTTCCAAGAAACCTGCATTAAAGAAAACTGCTACATTTTCTTAATCCAGTCTATCGCTGGACATTTGGGTTGGTTCCAAGCCTTTGCTATTGTGAATAGTGCTGCAATAAACATACGTGTGCATGTGTCTTTATAGCAGCATGATTTATACTCCTTTGGGTACATACCCAGTAATAGGATGGCTGGGTCAAATGGTATTTCTAGTTCTAGATCCCTGAGGAATCGCGACACTGTCTTCCACAATGGTTAAACTAGTTTACAGTCGCACCAACAGTGTAAAAGTGTTCCTATTTCTCCACATCCTCTCCAGCACCTGTTGTTTCCTGACTTTTTAATGATGGCCATTCTAACTGGTGTGAGATGGTATCTCATTGTGGTTTTGATTTGCATTTCTCTGATGCCCAGTGATGATGAGCATTTTTTCATGTGTCTGTTGGCTGCATAAATGTCTTCTTTTGAGAAGTGTTTGTTCATGTCCTTTGCCCACTTTTTGATGGGGTTGTTTGTTTAAACTGGAAACCATCATTCTCAGCAAACTATCACAAGGGCAAAAAACCAAACACCGCATGTTCTCATTCATAGGTGGGAGTTGAACAATGAGAACACTTGGACACAGGAAGGGGAACATCACACACTGGGGCCTGTTGTGGGGTGGGGGGAGGGATAGTATTAGGAGATATACCTAATGTAAATGACGAGTTAATGGGTGCAGCACACCAACATGGCACATGTATACATATGTAACAAACCTGCACATTGTGCACATGTACCCTAGAACTTAAAGTATAATAAAAAAAATAAAAAATAAAAAAAACTGCTTAACCCAATGTTTACCAAACTCTCTTCACCTTAAACAACTTTTTGTTTTTTTATAGTGTATCTTTTAAGATCTCATGGAATACTAATGTCCTACAGAATACAATTTGGAAAGTGTTTTTGGAAAATATGTGGAGTGGCATAAAATTAATATTCCACAAGGAATAGTTATTGCCTTCTCATTCCCAACATTAGAATACACAGCTGTGTTTTGCCATCTTGGTGTTATGGATCCAAAACTAAAATCATCCACAGTGACTATCATTAATAAGACTGTATGGTATACTTGTAATTTGCTAAGAAAGTAGATCTTAAATGTTCTCACCACATACACACCAAAAAGGGTAACTATGTGAGCTGATGGATATATTAATGAGCTTGATCACAGTAGTCATTTCACAATATATGCATGTATCAAAACATCATGTTGTACACCACAAATATATAAAACTCTTATTTGTTAATCATACCTCAATAAAGCTGGAAAAAATGAAAAAGAAAATAAAATTAAGTACTTAATCTAACCAATTTGGGTTTTGTACTTAGAGCTGAGCACCCTGACTTAGCTGGCCTCTATAGAAGATGAAAGCACCAAAACAACACAGAATAACCCCAAGATATTTTTGAAGGCAGTTGCCCATCTCCTCTTTATCTTTTCTCCAGCCTCCTCCTACTACTGGAATCTTGTATATAACAAGCACTGGCTGGCTATCCACCACAAACAAGGCAGTGAGTCATGATGTTCCCATTGCACTCGTGCAATGCACATCTGAGACAAATAAGCCCCAATTACTTTTCCTTTTACAGTCATAGTAGGATTCAGTGACTATGTATGTTTTTGTTACAAATGAGTAACGTAAGTTACAAAATAGATAACTTGTAGGAATATCAATGTAATTTCAAATTATAGAACTTGATAACTTTAAGCACAGATACTACCTACTGTTCAAAAATAGGTGTTATCTGTATGATCATGAGTTTGACCTACGCCCCCCTCCACTTCTTAAGAAGGCAACATTGGATATTGGCATGGATGTTGACCCAGAAGTCAGAAGGCTTAGGTTTCAGTTCTACTCGTAAGACCTCAGACACATCTTTTTGAACTTGAAAAACTTTTCTTTCTGGATTTTCTAAACATGCAAAAAGGACATATTCATGCAGCAAATCTTCATCATTCACAGATTCTGTATCTGCAAGTTCCCTTACTCCCTAATATTTATTTATAACCCCCCCAAAAAAAAATCAATACTCACCATGCTTTCATGATCATTCACAGATATGCAGAGAGGCAAAAAATCGAAGTCATCTGACATGAATGTGCTCAGCTGAGGGAGAACAAGGTGACACCGTGCTTTCTGTTTTTAGCCCTGATACTGAAAAGAGGTGCACTTTTTGTGTTCTATTTAGTGCCACCTTTTCACATTTTTGTGCTTTTTCTTGGTGATTTTGCTGTTTAAAATGGCCCCCAACCATAGCACTGAAGTGTTGTCTACCGTCTTTAAGCACAAGAAGGCTGTGATGTACCCTACAGAGAAAACGCCTGTGTTAGATAAGCTTCATTCAGGCATGAGTTATAGCGCTGTTGGCTGTGAGTTCGATCTTCATGAATCAACAATATATATTAAGTAAGGCATCTTTAAACAGAAATGCACAAGGTTATTTATTAATTGATGAAAATGTTGTGACCAGAGGCTCAAAGAAACCTCACTCTGTATTTACCCTAAGAGCAAGGGTTCAGTATCCACTATTCACTAATTCAATATTCCCGATGACTTTATAGAGCACAGAACTAGCTGTGTTCTATATGGTCTCATAAAGCAGGTATAATGCTTCAATAAGAAAATATGCCCATTCAGCAATATTTAACAATGATTTTTATGTCTATCACAGCACCTGGCTCTATGCAGGCACTGTGGATACATCTCCGAGATACACTAGACAAGGTTCCTGCCCTCACATAGGGCAGAGATAGAAAAGCACTTGGAAAATGTTAAAGCTCTAAACAATACGTTAATACATTAGCTTTTTTCCAATTTTTTGTACTGTGGTAAAATACATATATCAAATTTATTGTCTTAACCATTTTAAGAGTACAGTTCAGCGGTATTAAGCATGTTCATATTGTTGTACAACCATCAGCACCATCCATCTTCAGATCTCTTATCTTGTAAAACTGAAACTCTAAACCCTTTAAGCATTAACTCCCCATTTCTCCCCCGCCCCAGCATTTTACCTCCAGGCCCCCAACATTCTACTTTCAGTTTCTATGATTTTGACTACTCTAAATTCCTCATATTAATTAATTCATACAGTATTTGTCTTTTTGTGACTGGAAAATTTCACTTAGCATAATGTCCTAAAGGTTCATTCCTGTTGTAGCATAGGTCAAAATTTCCTTCCTTCTTAAGGTGGATGGATAAGGGGGCACTTCCTTCTGTCATTTTGCTGTTTGTTTTCTACATACCTTAAAGGGTTTTTTTAACCTTCATTTCCTGCATTATTATCTTTTGTGTTTAGTTGATTATTTTTTTTATTATACTTTAAGTTTTAGGGTACATGAGCACAACGTGCAGGTTTGTTACATATGTATACATGTGCCTTGTTGGTGTGCTGCACCCATTAACTTGTCATTTACATTAGGTATATCTCCTAATGCTATCCCTCCCCCCTCCCCCACCCCACAACAGGCCCTGGTGTGTGATGTTCCCCTTCCTGTGTCCAAGTGTTCTCATTGTTTAATTCCCACCTATGAGTGAGAACATGAGGTGTTGGTTTTTTGCCCTTGTGATAGTTTGCTGAGAGTGATGGTTTCCAGCTTCATCCATGTCCCTACAAAGGACATGAACTCATCATTTTTTATGGCTGCATAGTATTCCATAGTGTATATGTGCCACATTTTCTTAATCCAGTCTATCACTGATGGACATTTGGGTTGGTTCCAAGTCTTTGCTATTGTGAATAGTGCCGCAATAAACATACGTGTGCATGTGTCTTTATAGCAGCATGATTTATACTCCTTTGGGTATATACCCAGTAATGGGATGGCTGGGTCAAATGGTATTTCTAGTTATAGATCCCTGAGGAATCACCACACTGACTTCCACAATGGTTGAACTAGTTTACAGTCCCACCAACAGTGTCAAAGTGTTCCTATTTCTCCACATCCTCTCCAGCACCTGTTGTTTCCTGACTTTTTAATGATTGCCATTCTAACTGGTGTGAGATGGTATCTCATTGTGGTTTTGACTTGCATTTCTCTGATGGCCAGTGATGATGAGCATTTTTTCATGTGTCTGTTGGCTGCATAAATGTATTCTTTTGAGAAGTGTCTGTTCATACCCTTCACCCACTTGTCAATGGGGTTGTTTGTTTTTTTCTTGTAAATTTGTTTGAGTTCTTTGTAGATTCTGGATATTAGCCATTTGTCAGATGAGTAGATTGCAAAAATTTTCTCCTATTCTGTAGGTTGCCTGTTCACTCTGATGGTAGTTTCTTTTGCTGTGCAGAAGCTCTTTAGTTTAATTAGATCCCATTTGTCAATTTTGGCTTTTGTTGCCATTGCTTTTGGTGTTTTAGACATGAAGTCCTTGCCCACGCCTATGTCCTGAATGGTATTGCGTAGGTTTTCTTCTAGGGTTTTCATGGTTTTAGGTCTAACATTTAAGTCTTTAATCCATCTTGAATTAATTTTTGTTTTTTTTTTAAAGATCAACAAAATTGATAGACCGCTAGCAAGACTAATAAAGAAGAAAAGAGAGAAGAATCCAATAGATGCAATAAAAAATGATAAATGGGATATCACCACCGATCCCACAGAAATACAAACTACCATCAGAGAATACTGTAAACACCTCTACACAAATAAACTAGAAAATCTAGAAGAAATGGATAAAGTCCTCGACACATACACCCTCCCAAGACTAAACCAGGAAGAAGTTAAATCTCTGAATAGACCAATAACAGGCTCTGAAGTTGAGGCAATAATTAATAGCTTACTAACCAAAAAAAGTCCGGGACCAGACGGATTCACAGCCGAATTCTACCAGAGGTACAAGGAGGAGCTGCTACCATTCCTTCTGAAACTATTCCAATCAATAGGAAAAGAGGGAATCCTCCCTAACTCATTTTATGAGGCCAGCATCATCCTGATACCAAAGCCTGGCAGAGACACAACAAAAAAAGAGAATTTTAGACCAATATCCCTGATGAACATCGACGCAAAAATCCTCAATAAAATACTGGCAAACCGAATCCAGCAACACATCAAAAAGCTTATCCACCATGATCAAGTGGACTTCATCCCTGGGATGCAAGGCTGCTTCAACATATGCAAATCAATAAACATAATCCAGCATATAAACAGAACCAATGACAAAAACCACATGATTATCTCAATAGATGCAGAAAAGGCCTTTGACAAAATTCAACAACCCTTCATGCTAAAAACTCTCAATAAATTAGGTATTGATGGGACATATCTCAAAATAATAAGAGCTATTTATGACAAACCCACAGCCAATATCATACTGAATGGGCAAAAACTGGAAGCATTCCCTTTGAAAACTGGCACAAGACAGGGATGCCCTCTCTCACCACTCCTATTCAACATAGTGTTGGAAGTTCTGGCCAGGGCAATCAGGCAGGAGAAGGAAATAAAGGGTATTCAATTAGGAAAAGAGGAAGTCAAAATGTCCCCGTTTGCAGATGACATGATTGTATATCTAGAAAACCCCATCGTCTCAGCCCAAAATCTCCTTAAGCTGATAAGCAACTTCAGCAAAGTCTCAGGATATAAAATCAATGTGCAAAAATCACAAGCATTCTTATATACCAATAACAGACAAACAGAGAGCCAAATCATGAGTGAACTCCCATTCACAATTGCTTCAAAGAGAATAAAATACCTAGGAATCCAACTTACAAAGGATGAGAAGGACCTCTTCAAGGAGAACTACAAACCACTGCTCAACGAAATAAAAGAGGATACAAACAAATGGAATAACATTCCATGCTCATGGATAGGAAGAATCAATATCATGAAAATGGCCATACCACCCAAGATAATTTATAGATTCAATGCCATCCCCATCAAGCTACCAATGACTTTCTTCACAGAATTGGAAAAAACTACTTTAAAGTTCATATGGAACCAAAAAAGAGCCCACATTGCCAAGTCAATCCTGAGCCAAAAGAACAAAGCTGGAGGCATCATGCTACCTGATACCTGACTTCAAACTATACTACAAGGCTACAGTAAACAAAACAGCATGGTACTGGTACCAAAACAGAGATATAGACCAACGGAACAGAAAAGAGCCCTCAGAAATAATGCCACACATCTACAACTATCTGATCTTTGACAAACCTGACAAAACCAAGAAATTGGGAAAGGATTCCCTATTTAATAAATGGTGCTGGGAAAACCGGCTAGTCATATGTAGAAAGCTGAAACTGGACCCCTTCCTTACACCTTATAGTTGATTTTTATAGTGAAATTTTGCATAGTTTCAATTCCTTTTTCATTTCCTTTTGTATATATTCTATTTTCTTTGTAGTCACCATAGGGACTGTATTTAATATCCTGAAGTTATATATTCTAATTGGGATTCATACCAACTTAACTTCAATAACATAAAAACACTGCTCCTTTACATCTCTGTCCACTCTCCTTTCAATTGTTCATGCCACATAATTACATCTTTATACATTGTGTGTCAAAAACATAAACTAATAATTTTTAATGCATTAACTTCTTAAATTATAGAGAAACAAAATGTGGAATTAAAAACCAAAATTATAACACTACTAGGTTTTAGACTAATAATTGCTTTTAAAAAATGTATCAGTCTCTTACATCATGGAGGAAACAAAAAGCAGAGTTACAAACCATTGTTACAATAACACCAGCTTTTATAATCGCCCTTCTTTACCTTTACTGAGATTTTTATTTCTTCATATGGCTTCAAGTTACTGTCTAATGTCCTTTCATTTCAACCTGCAGGACTCCCTTTAGCATTTCTTGCAGGGCAGTTCTAGTGGTAATGAACTCCCTCAACTTTTGTTTATCTGGAAATGTCTTAATTTCTCCTTCATTTTTGTAGGACAATATTGCTGGATAAATGATTCTTGTTTTTTCTTTTTGCACTTTGAATACATCAGCCCACTGCATTTTGGCCTTTAAAGTTTCTGATGAGGAATATGCTGATAATCTTATTATTGTTCCCTTGCTTGTGATGAGTCACTTCCCTTGCTGCTTTCAAGCTCCTTTTTTTGTCTTTTTTGAAACTAAGCTTTCAAAAGTTTAGTTAAAATTTGTCTCAGATGCATAGTTTGCAAATATTTTCTCCCATTCTGTAGGTTGTCTGTTTACTCTGTTAATAGCTTTTTTTTTTTTTTTTTTTTTTTTTTTTTTTTGCTGGGCAGAAGCTCTTAAGTTTAATTAGATCCCACTTATCAATTTTTGCTTTTGTTGCAATTGCTTTTGGTGTCTTTGTCATGAAACCTTTGCCTATTCCTATGCATCTGACAAAGGTCTAATATCCAGCATCTATAAGGAACTTAAACAAATTTACAAGAAAAAAACAAACAACCCCATTAAAAAGTGGACAAAGGACATGAATAGACACTTCTCAAAAGAAGACATACATGGAGCCAACAAGCATACTTTAAAAGGCTCAATATCACTGATCATTAGAGAAATGCAAATCAAAACCACAATGAGATACCATCTCACACCAGTCAGAATGGCTATTATTAAAAGGTCAAAAAATAACAGATGCTGGTGAGGTTGCAGAAAAAAGGGAACCACTTACACACTGTTGATGGAGGTGTAAATTAATTCAACCATTGTGGAAAGCAGTATGACAATGCCTCAAAGAGCTAAAAGCAGAACTACCATTAAACCCAGCAATCCCATTACTGGGCATGTACCCAGAGGAATACATATAAATCATTCTACCATAAAGACATATGCACGTGAATATTTACTGCAGCACTATTCACAATAGCAAAGACCTGAAATCAACCTAAATGCCCATCAATGACAGAATGGATAAAGAAAGTGTGGTGCATATACACCACGGAATACTATGGAGTCATAAAAAAAAGAATGAGATCATGTACTTTGTGGGAACTTGGATAAAGCTGGAGGATGTTATCCTTAGCAAACTAACACAGGAACAGAAAACCAAATACCGCATATTCTCACTTATAAGTAGGGTTAAATGATAAGAACTTATGAACATAAAGAAGGAAACAACAGACACTGGAGTCTACTTGAGGGTGGGAGGAGTGAAAGGAGCAGGAACAGTAACTATTGAGT